>NC_000004.12:111042593-111194108 GCF_000001405.40 Homo sapiens | reverse complement strand
TCCCCTTCCTATCAATCTTTGTCTTCCCCTGAATCATTGGTAACAACTGATCTCTTTGTTTTCTTTATCTTGCCTTTTCTAGAATGTCATATAGCTAGGATAATATGACAGCTTTTCATACTGGCTTCTTTCTTTTTTAAAAAAATTATACTTTAAATTTTGGGACACGTGCAGAATGTGCAGGTTCGTTACATAGATATACACGTGCCTTGGTGGTTTGCACCACCCATCAACCCGTCATCTACATTTAGGTCTTTCTCCTTATGCTATCCCTCCCCTAGCCCCCCACCTCCCAACAGGCCCTGGTGTGTGATATTCCCCTCCTTGTATCCATGTGTTCTCATTCTTCAACTCCCACCTATGAGTGAGAGCATGTGGTGTTTGGTTTTCTGTTCCTGTGTTAGTTTGCTGAGAATGATAGTTTCCAGCTTCATCCATGTCCCTATAAAGGACCTGAAGTCATCCTTTTTTGTGGCTGCATAGTATTCCATGGTGTATATGTGCCACATTTTCTTAATTCAGTCTATCACTGATGGGCATTTGGGTTGGTTCCAAGTCTTTGCTATTGTGAATAGTGCTGCAATAAACATACGTGTGCATGTGTCTTTATAGCGGAATGATTTATAAGCATTCCCTTTGAAAACTGGCACAAGACAAGGATGCCCTCTCTCACCACTCCTATTCAACATAGTATTGGAAGTTCTGGCTAGGGCAATCCGGCAAAAGAAAAAAATACAGAGTATTCAAATAGGAAGAGAGGAAGTCCACTCTCACTTTCTAGTGACTCTGGTTCCCCAAACACTGTCCTCACATTCTTTAGGTCATAAAAAGATTGGGGTTTCATTAGGAGTTTTAGTCACCCTAATTGGTGCTAATTTCAGCCTACCTCTAAGCTAAAAATCATGAAAACTGAGAAATTTATCCAATGCTGCTCTCTTCTTTCAAATTTCAACTCCATTCTAGAAGGTGCCTGCCTTTCTTCACTCTCTAGGGCCTTCTGGCTTTGTTTTTGTTTTGTAATTTGTTCAGTATACATTGCTATTATTTTGAAGGATGTTTGGATCCTTATATGACCACACTGGAAAGAGAAATCACATCAATAGACTCTTGCTCAAAGCACTGAGGGTTCTAGCAAATGTGTTCTTTCTGAAGAGCACCAGGGTTTGTGGGTTGAAATGACAATCCTCTTAGGCAACTAATGTAACTGTTATCTTGAGACACAAGACTCTAAGTTCCATAACTATAGGAACTGGCCTGCTTTGTTCACCTCTGTATTTCCAGTGCATAGTGCAATACCGATTGCAGCTGGTGCTCAATAAATAGTTTTTTAAATCATAAAATAAATGAGAACTGTTACAGTAGGGTGACTAGAGTTGGTAATAATATATACTTCAAAAATAGCTAGAAAAGAGGGTCTTAAATGTTCTTACCACAAAGAAATGGCAAGTGGTTGAGATGACAGATGCACTAATTTCCCTAAATTGATTATGGCACAATATACATATGTGTTGAAGCACACACTGTATCTCATCAATATAAAACCAAAATAAAACATAATAAATAAAGGAATTAAAGCATAATGGGAAAACCACTGTATTTGGGGTGGGAAAGTTTACATTTAAATTCCAGTTCCACTAGTGTCAATTTGTGCAAACAAACACTTTAACCTATGCCTGTTATATTATTTATAAAACTGGCATAGTAAAACTCAGTACTTTAAGTATGCTTATGTCAATAGATTGTGAGATCAAATGACCTAACTCAAAGCAGGAGAAAAATGGACTCTTATTTTTACTATCAATCAAATATTCCTAATAAATTTACCTCAAGAATAAAACTTTCATTATATAGGAACATATATCTAGGCAATATCTTGCTGATAAAATACTATGGATTGTTTTATTTAGAATTCTCATGAGTAAATCATTCAACCTGCCAGTCAATAAAACACTGGGGCCAGATGCAGTGGCTCACACCTATAGTCCCAACACTTTGGGAGAGCAAGGCAGGTGAATACCTTGAGCCCAGAAGTTTGAGAACAGCCTGAGCAACATGGTGAGACCCCTCTCTACAAAAAAAAAAAAAAAAAATGTAATTAGCTGGGTATGGTGGTGCCTGTGGTCCCACCTACTTGGGGGGCTGAAATGGGAGGATTACTTGGGCCCCAGAGGTAGAGGCTACAATGAGCCATGTTCATGCCACTGCTCTCCAGCCTGAGTGACAGAGTAGGACCCTGTCTCAAAAAATAAAAATAAAAATAAACAGCGGTACCGGACCAACACAATATACTTAAAATAAACAGAAATCTAAATTCTAGACCATGGAAGGAAAATCTTTTCAGACTCAGAAAACATTTGCCTGATCTGATTCAATAAATTATGAAGACAAATAATTCTTATCTCAGCTAGATGAGTAGAAAATCAAGCAATGTGAGCAATGCAAGTCTGAGACACCTGTGGAAGCAATAACACCTATGGGAACATCTATGGAAGACTCTCTATCAAATTTGTATGTGTTATAGTTATCCATTGTGTTTCTATAGGTTATATAATTTAATCCTTTGAGACAAAGGTAGTATTATTGCTACTGTTACTATTTTACATGTGAGAAAACTGAGGAGTTTTTTTGACCAAAGTCATATACTATTAATCAAGAAAACAGTGATTTTAATTAAAGAGTGTTTGCTGGCTCACGCCTGTAATCCCAGCATGTTGGGAGGCCGAGGCAGGCAGATCACGAGGTCAGGAGATCGAGACCATCCTGGCTAACATGGTGAAATCCCGTCTCTACTGAAAATACAAAAAACTAGCCGGGCGTGGTGGCGGGCGCCTGTAGTCCCAGCTACTTGGTAGGCTGAGGCAGGAGAATGGTGTGAACCCGGGAGGCGAAGCTTGCAGTGAGCCGAGATGTCACCACTGCACTCCAGCCTGGGCAACAAAGCGAGACTCATCTCAAAAAAAAAAAAAAAAAAAAGAGTGTTTGCCTCAGAATCACTTCCATTCTCCACTAGGACACAGTCTCATGCAGTGAAAAACATAAGGCAAAATTTAAGCTAATATTGAAAATGAGCAAAGAAACCTTGCATTTGATTTGTTTTATTGGCATCTTTCTAATGGTATGTGTTCTAATTAATGTTTTGAATATAATCACATCAGGACAATTGAGTTACCCAAATGGTTAAATTGCTATATTCTAAAAATATAAATTATAAAGTATTTTTAGATTAGTTTAGTATAAAACTAGTAGTTTTTATTAATTAGATTTAGTTTAACATTGTGTTATTGATTGTGTTTTAGAACTCTATTATTGATTTTGTTTAACCAAAAAAGGATTTATTGTTAGTGCAGCTCTCCCTTCCAAATTTAAGGAGAGATTTTTCACAAATTCATGTGAATCAGACAACTGCCTGAGCAACTCACTTTTAGAAAGTGCCCTGCTCAACTAACATCTCTGCCTTTTTTAAATGTTGTGATTTATTCAATTTTTAACTTTATGAAGTCCTGGAAAAGCATGCAATAATAACATACTTTACCAAACACACTTGAAAATAGCATATTTTTAACTTATATCCTTATAACCTTCAAAAATAGAAAATTAGAACAAAGAAAATCGTGTTACTCCAAAATTTTCAGGAAATGGAAGGGAAAACAACAGAGAAAAAAGTATTTTTTAATAATGTCCAAAAAATTCATAGTATATGTCTGACTTGATGGATGTCTTTGTTCTGTAGTTGATTTATTCAGATCCTTATTTTGTTAGAGGAAGTGTTGGAAACTTGAATATGAAATTCCTCAAATCCCAGTAAGCTTTTATTTGACTATTGATTACAGCCCCTAAAATGAAGTTTAATTCAACTTGACAATCTATGTAGTAGGACTTATTCAGGCAAATCGGTTTGTAATATTATTTCTGTTATCTCCTTTGTATAATTTTTTAAAAGTCGGTGTCCTGAAAAATGTGCAACATTTCTAACTTTTGTCGATGAATCATTATTATGTACATAAACTTTAAGATATCCTAGAAGAGTTTCATTAACCCTGCCTATCTTGAATAATAAAAAAGTGAACATTTTTAGAATAGGGTATACATGACTAATCAAATTGGATTTTTTGAAATATTGCAGGTGAGTCTAAAAATACTAAATCTAAGAGGCAAACAGGTCATTAAAAAATCACAAATGAAACAACTTCAGAATTCAAGTTATGTTACCGCCAACACCAGCAGATACTCACCTGTGGATCAGATGATTACAATAAAGGCAACTTACTTCAAAGTTGAAACATAAAATTCTTACTTTCAAATTTATATACAACTTATAACTTTAAAACAATTGTAAAATTATCTAAAAAAAGTTTACCTTCTAATTGCAAGAGAATTATTAAGTATTCTTTGTTGATTTACAGTTTAAAGCAATAAATAGAAAGATAAATTGCTTGATAGAAATAATATATGTAGATATTTCTTTATCTAGATATTTTTCCATTTGTCTATTATACCTGGTTGCAAATCAAATAATTTCATTTAAAAACTACCATTGGGAACATCAGTGGTTATTGTTGGATGGTGAGATTAGATTAATATTTTAGTTTTTATATATTCTAATTTTTCTGTAAGCAACATGCTAGTTTTGGGTAAGAAAACATAATTTTGGAAATGTATGAGATTGCAGCAGTTAATACTCTCTTATTATCCTCAGCCATATTCCCTTGTGTCTACAGGATGAGTAATGAAGTAAACCAAATGTCATAGCTATAATCATAATAAAAAAGTATCTGTAAATATCTCCATTAATTTTCCAAAGTTACTGGAAAAAATGTAATAAAGTAAAACAAGGCATTTGTTCATCAATATCCAAAAAGTAAAAGAATATATTTCAGAAGAAAGAAAAATTGAGCAGAAAGGAAGACCATTGATTGGGTGTTATGTGTCAGGCTCTGAAGTGATTTTGGTGAACATTCTGTCAACACTCAAACTAGTCTAAGGAATGATAGGATGGTGAGAATTTCATGTTAGTTAAACTGGAGGATTGCAACAAGTCATTTATCTCACAAAAGCTAATATAACAAATTCTATTGCTCCGTTGGGCAAAAAGTGTCATTTAATACAGATGGTGCAGATTGTGGTGTTGGAAACTGGGAGAATAGGGGAATTCATTCTACTCTTCACATTACCTAAAATAGCACCCCCTTAAAAATGAGCAATAGGAAGATAGAAAATCCTTGTAACCAGATACTAGCTTAAATGTTTTTCTACATTCCAGTTTTCCCATATCTGAGGCCATTTCTCATCTCTCAGATCTAAGATATGTCTCAACTTCTAAGATGCTGCTTATGAAAATTAGTTTCTTTGCTCTTGTCATGTTTCAAGCCATAATTCGAAGATACTACATCAAACATTAAAACAGCAGGTGGCTAAAAAACTAAAATACATACAGTAGAAATACTACAATACATAGATGGTTTTTGATAATTAAAATTACCATGTGCAATATTACTGAGTGCAGCAACTTCTTGATTCAAAAACAGATTAAAATCCAATCTGGGTTTTCACCTACATATTAGCAAATGTTTCCCGTCTATGAAAGGAATGAAGAAGTAACTAATGGGCATCATGTATGAAACGCTCAATGTACTCCTAAGAAAATCACTGGCCTATGTGAAAAATTGATTATTCAGAAATTTATTTATTTTTACTAAAGCTGTATAATCCATAAAGAACAGTACCTTCTTTGCATGTTTATAAAATGTATATAAATAGCTTCATGTTATAACTAATCTCTCTTAATGAATTGATCAATTTATGTTTATGTAATTATTTCTACTATGTTCTCTTATGCTAAGCATCCTGTTTTCTATTCTTTTGTTTTTGCATTCTTGTGGACTGATTTTTAGCTTCATTTTCCAATTAGTTCATTTGGAAATTATATACGCTTTTTATTCTTAATGGTTATCCTAATTTTTATTATACATACTCAAAATACAAGGATCTTAAAACATTATAAAAACAATTGTATTCTCTATTCTTACTTATTATGTTACATGGTTTTAATATCTTTTGTTAGCCTCCCAGTGTTATTCATTATTATTGTGTTATACGGCCAATGTTTGTCTGAATTTTACCCATATGTTTATTAACTTCGTCTTTGCTATTTTTCCTTGCATCTCAGTATTTCCTTTGAAGTCATTTTTCTTTTTCCTAAAAAATACATTTCAAGCATCCTTTTAGAATATTTGGATAGTGATAAGCTCTTCGTTTTCAATTTATCTGTACATTTTTCTTTTTTCTTTAAGGATTTAGCTAGATTAACCTGTATTTTATCTCAAAATAGTTTTGGTTTCTATTGTTGCTCTAATGATTCCACTCATTCTAATGTAATTTCGCTGTAGATAATTTATCATTTCTCCCAAGCTGAAGTTTTAAAATTTCATTTCAGTAGGTATTTACTGAGTTATTACTAAGTGTTGGATGTTTGATTAAATGATGGGGACAATAGATGAATAAGGTAACATCCCCACTCTAAAAGAACTCACAGTCTAGTGATGGGTATGTATGTACAATCATAATATAATGGGCATCAAGAAAAGTATGAACCGGGTGTTCTAAAAGTGAGTGGAGAATATTTAACCCATTGTGGGGGGTAGGATGATTGGGAAGGCTTGTTGGCCAAAGTGGGAAACTTAATCGTAAAAGAGTATTGTAAGGTAAAAGGCAGGAAAGAAGACAGTGACAAGTATGAAGAGTTGGGTTGTACCATAATTTAAGTTATGAAGAAGTAGCAGGAACAAAATCTGAATTGCGTAAGACCTCTCAGGACTAAAGTATTTCAGGTATCTCAGTAATTACATCATATTAGCTCCACCTCTCTTACTGTACTGGAAGTTCTCAAAGGCAAGAACCATACTTACATGATTTTTGCAATCTCCCCATTGCCTAGTATAGTGCATGACATCTTTGCTCAATACATATAAAACTAATAAATCATAATCTCTAAGTGTTATGATACCACTATGAGATCAGATAATCCCACTGGGCATGCATAAGGTGGGTGTGGGGACTTTTATATCTCACACAAGCCCAGCCTTACGTTCAGATTAAAGTACAATTTAAAATTATTTTAAAACAAGGGTAGCACTCTTGCCTTTGCTATTCCTAAAGTACTACTATTACTATTTACAAATAATGTATGTATATACTACTTTACAATTTTAAGTTACCTTTATGTACATCATAATAATTGTTCTCCATAAAGCCCTACTATATCATTTGTGGCTATGATGGACAGAGATACGATGAAGAGACTAGTCATTCAGTTAACAAACATTTGCTAAGCACCCACTATATGTCACACCGGTATTGGCCACTGCATGAGAAACAAAGCATTTCAGAATAATGCTATCTGTAGCTAAAAGGAACATTCAGTTTGAACTTTGAATTTTATAGGCAAATATTGCAGGTATCATATCACCTGTAGTTAAGGCTTCTTTTTTCATCAATTCTGAGAGGTGTTCAGAAATAATCAGTTTACTTCCTTCTTAAAAAATGTCCTCTCTCTATTTGATTCTTGTAGAATTCCAATTAAACATGTTCTCATTCTGTCTTCCATATTTCTTAACTTTTCATCCATATTTTCAGCTTCATTTTTGTATTTTGAACTAGATAATTTTTTGATTAATTTTCAAGTGTACTTAGAAATACTTGCATTACCAAATGTACATGTGTACATTACTAAATGTACACATGCATACATTACTAAGTGTATACATTACTTTTAATAATGTATAATTCATGGTTTATACTAACCATTAAGTTCATAACTCAAATTTCTATTTTTTTAATTTCTGAAACATATATTTTTATTTTCTCAAATCTGCTTGGTAATTTTTGATGGTCTAATCTTTCTTAATTACAAGGAAGAATTTTATCTTACCCTTCTTTAAACATTTTAGTGAGATTTTCTATCTCTGCTTGTTAATGTTAATATTTAAAATACTCACATATTCAAATATTTTGTTTGTAGTTTCTGTTGACTTTTACTTACAATAGCTTGAATCCAGATAAAATCGGTAATTTTATACTGTTAAGTCACCTTCAAACAGTCAAGTTTCATCCCTGGGAATCCTCAGGTAAAAACTCCACTTAGTTTATGAAACATTTAGTGCACACACTAAACTCCCTGGTTTTCAGTCTTTTTAATTTAGAGCACAAGGAAATTTATTTTCTTACAAGCACAAATTACTTTAAAAGACTGATTGTTGTATTTTACCCAGCATTTTAAGGTGCTTTTTATCTGAAGAATTTCAGTATACTCGAATATTAAATGGAAGTCCTATTCTTTAAATTTATGCTTCATAAATTTATCTAATTATAGCAACAATTGATAGTACTACCCAACCAAAGTCCCATTTAGATGCCATTCACCATTCTGTTTTATCAGTTCTGACAATTTTTAGTGTGTTTTTATTGCTTATAATAATTGCTAAATGTAAATTATAAACATAATCAGATATTATTAAATATATTTATGGACTTCAAAATATCTAAAAATCGAATCTTATAGAAAGACTATGAACTTGATAATATCAAATGCATTACCATTCCCAACATTATCACTTGTATGACATTTTTTTCTATTAACAAATAAGATGAAGCAAGTAACTGATTCAGACATTTATAATTAATCAGAAACATGTTATTGAAAATAATCTGAAACCAGGAAATGTTATGTTGACTAATTCTTGAAGTAAATGGGGCCAAAATAAATAATAATCTACTGGGAAAAGATTTAAAAAAAAAGTGTGTCCAGTCTGACATATAAGGAGTTTAGAAGTAATCAGTCTGTCCTAACACAAGTAAAATTCTAAACAAAATAAAGAATCAACAACTGTTCTTAGATTTGTTAGAGAAATAAGGTCACAGTGTAAACCACTGCCCCCTTAAACTGGAGAAACAGACAGGCAAATAAAGAAAATCACAATTTACAAGAGCAGAAATGTTCACAGGAACCAGACCAGAAATCACAAAAATCAAGGCTAAGACAGAAAAACTATAATGGACAAATTGCCAAAGGCAATCAATATCACACCATGTTACAGTCCAGGAAGCTCAGAGAACACAAAGCAGCATAAATGAAAAAACAAACAAAGTAATAAAAATATACATAAATGAAACTGCAGAAAAAAATCTTGAAAGAAACCAGAAGAAAAAACTTATTTATATGGAAACAAAAATAAGAAATATAACTGGCTTTTTATAAGAAACAATGCTAGCAAGAAGAGAGCAGAAGCAAAATATTTCAGGGGTTAAGAGAAAAACAACCACCAACCTAGAATTTGGACACTATGAAATTATCCTTCAAAAGTGAAGGAAAAAAAAGTAGTTTCTCAGGCAAACAAAAAGAGAGAGAAATTGTTACTTGTAGACCTGTCTTGCAAGAAATATTTTTAAAAAGTATCAGAGAGAAGGAAAATTACATAGTGCAGAAACTCAGACTACATAAAGAAAGGGAAATCACCAGAGAAAAATAAGTAAAAAAAAAAAATTAAAATTTTTATTTTTATCCTTCTTATGTAGCAGATAATCGTTCAAAATAATTATAGAAACAATGTTTGACTATGTATGCTTAGGTATATAATATATATACATATATGTTTATGTATAAATGAAATAAATAACAGCTATGACAGGGGAATGAGGATTATTTTGTTTTTATAAGGGACTTGCTATACCCATGAAGAGATAGAATTATTTGAAAGCAGACTTGGATGATTTGTAAAGGTATATTGGAAACTCTAGGACAACCTTTTAAAAAGTAAGAAATGAGGCTTAATTGATAAGCTAAAAAGGGGAGAAAGTGGAATCACATAAAATGCTCGCTAAAGCAAAAAAAGGCAATAAAAGAGTACAACACACAATAGAACAAATAAAAAGGACAACAAATAAAAAACAGTAACAAATATGGTAGATATTAGTCCATTAATAAGGTTAAGTTCTATGTTCCCACCCAAAGCTCATCTTGAATTATAATCCCTGTAATACCCATATATCAAGGGAAAGACCAGGTGGAGGAAATTGGTTCAAAGGGACAGTTTCCCCCATGCAGTTCTCATAATAGACAGTGAGTTCTCACAAGATCCGATGGTTTAATAAGGGGCTTCCCCTTTTGCTCAGCATTCTCTCTCCTGCCACCCCATGAAGAGGTGCCTTCCACCATGATTGTAAGTTTCCTGAGACCTACCTAGCCATGCTAAACTGTGAGTCAATTAAACCTCTTTCCTTTATAATTTACCCAGTCTCAAGAAGTTATTTGTAGCAGTGTGAGAACAGAATAAAATAGTAAATTGGTACCACAGAGAGTGGGGTACCACTATAAAGATACCCCAAAATGTGGAAACAACTTTGGAACTGGGGAACAGGCAGAAGTTGGAACAGTTTGAAGGGCTCAGAAGAAGACAGCAAGATGTGGGAAAGTTTGGAACTTCCTAGAGACATGTTGAATGTTTTTGACCAAAATGCTGATAGTGATGTGGACAATGAAGTCCAGGCTGAGGTGATCTCAGATGGAGGTGACGAACTTACTGGGAATTGGAGCAAATTCACTCTAGCTGTGCTTTAGCAAAGAGACTGGCAGCCATTTGCCCCTACCCTAGAGATCTGTGGAACTTTGAACTTGAGGGAGATAATCTGAAATTGGAACTTATGCTTAAAAGGGAAGCAGAGCATTAAAGTTTGGAAAACTTGCAGCCTGACAATGTGATAGAAAAGAAAAATCTATTTCCTGGGAAGAAATTCAAGCCTGCTGCAGAAATTTGCATAAGTATGAGAAGCTCAATGTTAATTGCCAAGACAATGGCAAAAATGTCTCCAGAGCATGTCAGAAGTCTTCTTCATGGCAGTCCTTCCCATCACAGGCCTGGAGGCCTAGGAGGAAAAATGGTTTTGTGTGCTGGACTCAGGACATCGCTGCTTTGTGCAGTCTGGGTACTTGGTGCCCTGCATCCCAGCCAAGGCTAAAGGGGGCTAATTTACAGCTCAGGCCATTGCTTCAGAGGGTGCAAGCCCAAAGCCTTGGTGGCTTACACATGGTATTGGGCCTGCATGTGCACGGAAGTCAAAAATTGAGCTTTGGGAAACCTCCACCTAGATTTCAGAGGATGTATGGAAATGCCTGGATGTCCAGAGAGAAGCTTGCTGGGGGAGTACAGCCCTCATTGAAAACCTCTGCTAGGACACTACAGAAGGAAAATGTGGGGTTGGAGCCCCCACACAGAGTCCCCACTGGGGCACTGCCTAGTGGAGGTGTGAAAAGAGGACTGCCACCATTTTCCAGACCCCAGAATGGTAGATTCACCAACAGCTTGCATTGTGCACCTGGAAAAGCTGCAGACACTCAATGCCGGCCCATGAAAGCAGCCAGGAGGGTGTCTGTACTCTGCAAAGCCACAGGAGTGGAGCTGCTCAAGGTCATGGGAGCCCATCTCTTACAGAAGCATGACCTGGATGTGAGACATGGAGTCAGTCAAAGGAGACCATTTTGGAACTTTAAGGTTTATGACTGCCCAGCTGGATTTCAGACTTGCATGGGACCCTTGGCCCCTTTGTTTTGCTAATTTCTCTCTTTTAGAATGGAAACATTTACCCAATGCCTGCAACCCATTCTATCTTGGAAGTAATTAACTTGCTTTTGATTTTACAGGCTCCTGGGCAGAAGGGACTTGCTTCATCTCAGATGAGACTTTGGACTTAAATTTTGGGTTAATTATTAAATGAATTAAGACTTTGGGGGACAGTTGGGAAGGCATAATTGGTTTTGAAATGTGAAAGGGACACGTAATTTAGGAAGAGCTAGGGACAGAATGATTTGGTTAGGATTTATGTCCCCACCCAAATCTCATTTTGTATTATAATCCCCATAATCTGCACACATCAAGGGAGAGACCAGGTGTAGGTAATTGGATCATGGGGGTAGTTTTCCCACTGCTGTTCTTGTGATAGTGAGTCAGTTCTCACAAGATCTTATGGTTTTATAAAGGGCTCTTCCCCCTCCATTCTTTACTCTTCTCTCTCCTGCTGCCATTTGAAGAAGGTTTGTGTTTCTCCTTTGCCTTCCACCATGATTGTAAATTTCCTGAGGCTTCTCCAGCCATGCTTAACTGTAAGTCGGTTAAACCTCTTTCCTTTATAAATAATACAGTTTCAGGAAGTTCTTTATAGCCGTGTGAGAATGAACTAATACATCTATCTATATCAATAATCACTTTAAAGATGAATGGTCTAAATACACCAATAAAAACACAGATTTTCAGAGTGTATCAAAAATCATATAGACCCAACTCTATGTTGCTTAGTAGAAAACCAGTTTAAATATAAAGATACCATATAGGTTAAAGATAAAGAGATGGAGAAATATATATCATGCTAATGCTAATCAAAATTAAAAACAAGTGTGAGTATATTAATTTCAGATAGAGCAAACTTCAGAGCAATAGAAGGTTTTGGATATAAAGACGTGTGTTACTTAATGATAGGTTGATTCTCTAAGAAGATGTTACAATTCTTAATGGGTATGTCCATAAAAACAGAGTATCAAAATACATGAGGCAAAAACTGATAGAAATGCAAGTAAAAATAAAATAAATCCACTATATAGGTAGAGACTTCAGTACTCCTCTATCTGAAATAGACAGATCCAACAGGCAGTCAATTGCTAAGGACATAACTGAACTCAACAGCATCATCCATTAACTGGATATAATTGCCATGTGTAGACTACTTCAAGCAAAAACAGAAGAATACGCATTCTTCTCAAACTCATATGGAATATTCACAAGACAGACCACATTCTGGGCTATAATATACATCTTAACCAAATTTAAAGAATATAAATTATGCAATGTCTGCTCTCAGACCATGGTGGAATTAAGCTGCAATCCAATAACAGAAAGAAAACTAAAAAATACCAAAAACCCTTGGAGATTAAACAACATACTTCTAAATGACATAGGAATCAATGAAGAAATATTTTTACAAATTTAAAAATATTTTAAACAAAATTAAAATGAAAATATAACATACCCAAATCTGTGGAATACAGTGAAAGCAGTGCTTACAGGGAAATTTACAGCACTGAATGCATATAATACAAAAGAAGAAAGACAAAATATCAATAATCAAAGCTTCCTTCTTAGGATACTAGAAAAAGAACAGCAATTTAAACCCAAAGTAAGCAGAAGAAAAGAAAAGAAAAAAAAAAAACTCAAAGTAAAAATCAGTGGAAATAAAGGCATAAAATCAATAGACAAAAGAAATAAAACCTAAAACTAGTTATTAGAAAAACTCAATAAAACTGATAAGTCTCTATCCAGGCTAGGAAAAACAATGAAGGAGAAAAATTACTAATATCAGAAATGAAATATATGACACCACTACAGATGTCATAGACATTAAACGTATAATAAAAAAATTATGAACAACATTATGTTCACAAATTTGATAATCTAAATTGAATGGACCAATTTATTGAAAGCCACAATCTGCCAAAACTCACATAAAAAGAAATAAATGAGATTAATAGGCCTATATTGATTATGGAATTTGAATTAATAATTAATAAATTTTCAAACAAGAAACACCAGAACCAGATGAGTTCACTGGTGAATTATATATCAAAATTTTAAGAAAGATATACAATTTTCTCTACAATGTCTTCCAGAAGACAGAAGCAGAGGGACTACTTTCTAACTCATCCTATTAGTTCAGTATTACCCTAATTCAAAACCTTATAAGAAAGTAAAACAACAGATCAATATCTTTCATGAGAATTGACATAAAAATTTTCAATAAAATATTAGGCAATCTAATTCAACAATGTATAAAAACCATTATACATTATGACCAAGTGACATTTATCTCAGATATGTAAGGCTGATTCTAAATTCAAAAATCAATATAATCTATCACATCAATAGACTAAAGAAGAACAATTACATGATTATATTAATAGATGCAGAAAAAACATTTGAAAAAAATCCAACACCCACTCATGATGAAAACTCAGCAAACTAGGAACAGAAGGTGAACTTTTTCAACTTGAAAATGAACATCTACAAAAAACCTACAGCTAACATCATACTCAATGGTAAGTAATTATAAGTTTTCCAGCTAAGACAAGAACAAGGCAAAGATATCAACTCTGACCACTCCTCTTCAACATTATACTGGAAGTTCTTGCCAATATAATAAAACAAGAAAAAAATAAAAAGATACACAGATTGTGAAGGAAGAAATAAAAACTCTTTGTTTGCAGATGACTTTATCTATGTAGAAAATTTAGTAGAATTGGCAAAAAGTACTCAGGGAACTAACAAGTGATTATAACAAAGTTGTAGGCAACGAGTTTAATTTACAAAAGCCAATGCTTTCCTCCATATCAATAATGAACAATTAGAATTTGAAATTAAACACACAATACAATTTACATTAGCAATCCAAAAAATGAAATATGTAGATAGAAGTCTAACAAAATATGTACAAGATTGGTATGAGGAAAATTACAAAATTCTGATGAAAGAAGTCAAAGAAAAGTAAATAAATGAAGAGATATTCCACGTTCATGAATAAGAAACAGTATTGTCAAGATGTCACTTCTTCCAAACTTGGTCTTTAGATTCAACACAATCTCAGTCAGAATCCCAGCAAGTTATTTCGCGGATATTGTAAACTGATTCTGAAGTTTATGCAGACAGAAAAAAGTACAGAGTAGCCAACACAATATTAAAGCATAAGAACAAAATTAGAGAATTGATACTACCCAACTTCAAGATTTACTATAAAGCTACAGTAATAAAGACAATGTGCTGTTGGGAGAAAAATTGACAACTAGATCAATTGAACAGAATACAGAACCCAGAAACAGACTTATATAAATATCAACAGATCTTTTACAAAAGAGTAAAGGCAATATAATGGAGAAAAGATAATCTTTTCAAGAAATGATGCTGGAGAAACAGGACCTCCAAACGCAAAAAAATAAAAAAGACACAGACCTTTAAATCTTCACAAAAATTCATCTTAAATTGCTTACAGGCCTAAATGCAAAATGCAAAGCTATAAAACTCCTGGAAGAGAACACAGACGAAAATCTAGATGATCTCGTGGGTGTGGCAATTTTTTTTAGATACAATTTCAAAGTCTTGATCCATGAAATAAATAATTAACTAGCTAATTTCATTAAATTAAAAATTGCCCTACGAAAAACACTAAGGAATGTTAAGTTGTATTAGGATTTTATAGAGAAATATATACATATATATAAATACACACACATATATGGTGAAAGATAGAGATATTGTTATAAGGAATTGGCTCGCACATTTATGGAAGCTGGGAAATCCCAAATCTGCAGTAAATAGGCTAAAGATCAGGAGAGGCAATGGTATAGTTCCAGCCTGAGTCCAAAGGCCTGAGAACCAGCAAAGCCAAAGGCATGAGTTTCAGTCTGCCTTTAAGTCTGAAGGCAAGAGAAGGAGAAAGAAGCAGGAGAAGAAGGCAGTCAGGCTGAGAGAATTCTTTTTTACTCAGCATTTTTATTTTATTCTAGCCCACCCACATTGGGAAAGGAAATCTGCTTTACTCAGTCTACTGATGCAAATGTTCATTTCATTCAGAAACTCTCTTACAGCAGGGCACAGTGGCTCATGACTATAATCCTAGCACTTTGGGAGGCTGAAGCAGGAGTTATCACTTGAGCTCAGGAGTTGGAAACCAGTCTGAGCAACATAGTGAGATCTTATCTCTACAGAAAAAAATAAAAATAAAAAATAGAAATAAATTAGCCAGGCATTGTGTCCCAGCTACCTGGGTGGCTGCAGTGGGAGGATCACTTGAGTCTGGGAGGTCAAGGCTGCAGTGAGCTATGACCATGTCATTGCAGCCTAGGCAACAGCACAAGACCCTGTTTGAAAAAAGGAAAGGAAGGGAAGGAGAGGGGAAGGGAGAGGGGAAGGGAGAGGGGAGGGGAGGGGCGGGAAGGGAGGAGAGGGGAGGGGAGGGGAGGATAGGGCAGGGCAGGGCAGGGCAGGGCTATCTTACAGACACATGGCAAAATAATATTTTACCAAATATCTGGACACCCTGTGGCTCAGTCACGTTGACATATAAAATTAAACATCACGAGCCCACTCCTTGTCAATTTGACACTCATATATGTCTCCTTAAGTCATATTTACTTTACAAATAAAGACAACAACAAGAGTATAATTCCACTTATACAACTATACAATTACCCTGCCTACAGTTAAAAATGCACTAACACCTCCCACAGGAGAGGAGGCAAAGCCTTGAGTAATGTTTATTTTTCTCCTTGACATTTTGTAACTTAACTACTATTAGTAGCTTAGAATGAAAGTTTGAATAACCCCACCAGATTAAGAATGTCCAGCTGAGGTGCTATGATGTAAATTAACAATACTTAAATACCGTATATAAAGTCAACACATTTTATGTTACATAATAAGGAAATAAGAGAGGAAAGAAAACAGATATACTTGCTTATATACTGAAATTTACATATACATATATTTATATACGTACACAAACGTATTCATAACAAAATGAGAAAAAATACTCATGACAGTCACAGTCCTTGTTTCTACAATTGGTCATGTGTCCCTAGCTAGCATTTGTATCTATCTTCTTCCACTACTCATTCTATATTCCTTTTGCCTTCAGTAGCACCTCAGCTAGTCATGGTATTTTTTTTTTTTTACCTGGCGGGGTCATCCAAAGCTTTATTCCTGAAGTGTTTGAGCCATTAGTAGTTTTGCCTGGATTGGCTTGTTGTTGTTTTGCATTTACCCTAATCACAGAGCAGGGTTATAAACACATTCAGGGACCTTCTGTATCCCAGACATCCTCTTACTTACCTCCATAACAAGGAAGTAGTCCAATTTCTCCTGGGTAGTTAGGATCAATCCCTCCAGCCAGCACAATAAGTGACTTCTTTGTTGGTTCAAGAGCCCAAAGTGACAAGGTAGCAGTCTTAACTTCCATTTCAATGCATCTATTGTTGTATCTCTCCTTTTTTTTTTTTTTTTTTTTTTTTTTTTTTGAGATGGAGTCTCACTGTCGCCCAGGTTGGAATGCAGTAGCACGATCTCGGCTCACTGCAGGCTCCGGCCCCCAGGGTTCACGCCATTCTCCTGCCTCAGCCTCCCGAGTAGCTGGGACTACAGGCACCCGCCACCTTGCCCGGCTAATTTTTTTTTTTGTATTTTTAACACAGACGGTGTTTCACCATGTTAGCCAGGATGGTCTCGATCTCCTGACCTTGTGATCGACCCGCCTCGGCCTCCCAAAGTGCTGGGATTACAGGCGTGAGCCACCACGCCCGGCCTGTTGTATCTCTTGTTGGAAGCATTACTCCATTAGGAACAAAGAACTCTAAGCCAGCAGAGCATGAGGTCATAAGAAGAGAAAATAAACACTTTGCTAGGAGGACACTGAGGGTAAGAGTGAGCGGTACCACTCCCATTTTTATACCTTGGTTCCTGGAGCCATGAATCCTGCCCATCAGAGAAATATTATCATATATTGGACACTAATCCACATAATATACAGCCTTCTGTAATAAAGAACCTTGTCCCAGCTCTGCAAGGTATTACCACCTTGCTGGAACTGTAACTGAGTCTTCAAAAGCCATTCCACCATTCTATCAAGCCAGCAACTTTAGGATGGTGGAGAACATGGTAAGACCACTAAATTCCATAAGCATGGGCTGATTCCTGAGCTTATTTGGTCAGAGGCAACGTTGAGTGGAATACCATGATGGTGGATACTATGGTTTAAGTGATGGTGTCATCTCCAAATTTATGTTGAAATTTAATCCTCACTGCAACAGTATTAAGAGTTGTTGCCCTTGGAGGAAGATTAAGTCATGAGGGCTCCACCCTCATAAATTAAATCAGTATCCTTATAAAAGATTTGAAGAGAGTACTCTCTTGCCATTCCAATTTTTGACATATGAGGACACAGTGACATGGCACCTTTTCGAAAGCAGAGAGCAGCCTCACCAGACACCAGTGACAGTACCTTAATATTGGATGTCTCAACTCCAGAACTGCAAAAAATAAATTTCTGTTCTTCATAAATTATCTGTCTAAGGTGTTTTGTGAAAGCAGCACAAATGGACTAAGAGAGTGGATAGGGCACTCTGTAAGCCCACAGATGGTAGTTTTGGCATAAGCATTATATGCAGGGGAGATAAATCAAATCATCTGTTTGTTGTCTATTTCAGGAAGGACAAAATTATTCCCCTTCCATCATGGAAGATGTCCAGTGTAATCATCCTGCCACTGGGTATCTGGCTAATCACTCTAGGGAATGCTGCCATATCAGGAACTCAGTATTTGTCTCTGCTACTGGCAGTTTGGGCACTGAGTAATAGCCATGTCTAGATTGGCCTTGGTAAGTGTAAGTTTATGTTGCATATGCATATGCATAACCTCCATTGCTGCCACCACAGTCACTTTATTCATGAACCCATTGGGCAAAGACCAAAGTAGCTAGAGAAAGAGGCTGACTGGTATCCATAGAACAGGTCATCCTATCCACTTGATTTATTAAAATCCTTCTCTGCTGAAATCATTCTTTGGTGAATATCCACATGGGATACAAATATCTGCATTGTTTTTGCCCAGAGAGGTAAAACACGTCTCCTCCAAATATTTTGTAGCCAATTTTCTAAGCATGTTTCTTCCAAGTCTCTGACTGTCCAGCCAAACCATTGGCCACAGCCCGTGAATCAGAGTATAATCACAAGTCTGGTCATTTCTCCTTTCAACCGAAGTTGACAACCATGTGCAGTGCTTGAAGTTCTACCCACTGGGAGAATTCACCTTTACCACTGCCTTTCAAGAATGTCTCAGAAAGAGGCTATAGTGCTGCAGCTGTTCACTTTTGGGTAGTGTCAACATAAAATTCAGAACTGTAAACCATAACTTAGTCTTCTCTTTGTCAACTGATCATAGCTAATTCCCCATGAAGTCACAGGTACAGACTGGGAGAGGGAAAACAGTGTAGCAGCAATGGAACCATGAGCATTTGGGCCACTTCATGTAACTTACTTGTGCCTTCAGGGCCTGCTCAAACCTGATCACACCTTCATTTCATGATGAAATTCTCCTGTCACACCAACTTTATAGCTTAGGAGTAAGACAGCACCCAGTTCATGAGGGGCAGCTTCAATTGTGTGGTTATTTGGTGGTCCATGCTTATGTGTTCAGTCATTACTAAGGCCTAGTAGCAGGTTCTCAAAAGAAGAGTAGGTATCTGAAGAGGGTGGCAAGGCTTTATTCCAAATGCCTAAGGGCCTATGCTATGATTCATCTATAGTGGCTACAAAGGCTTCAAACACCCTTATCTGCCTGATATTTCAAGCACAATTGGATCTGCTGGATCAAATGACCCAAGTGACAAAGAAGCTTGCACAGCAGCTTGGACCTGTTGCAGGGCCTTCTCCTGCTTTGGGCCCCAGTCAACTCCTTGTGTCACTTGGTAAATAGATTGCAGTTACACACCCAAATGATGAATATGTTGTCTCCAAAATCCAAAGAAGCCCACTAAGCATTGTGACTCATTTGGCAACAATTCATCCCTCAACCTAGAAGGAATATCTGAACATTTCCCACTCTACTGGAACCCTAGAAATTCCATTGGTTTTGAAGGCTCCTGAATGTTTTTGGATTCATTTTCTACCCTCTGACACACAAATATCTTACCAATAAGTAAAGATTAGTTGCCACTTCTTGTTCATTAGGTCCAGTTAGCATAATGGCATCAATGTAATGAGCCAGTGTCTTGTAGAAGGAAAAGAAGACCAATATTACTACAAACTGAACTATAACATAGAGCTATAGAGTTGATACAGACCTGGTGTAAGACAGTGAAGGTGAATTGCTAGCCTTGAATTACTAGCCTTGGCAGTTAAAAGCAATCTGCTTCTGGTGGTCTCTACTCACAGGTATCAAGAAAAGAGCATTTGTCAGATCTATAGCTGCATAGAAGATACCAGAGGATGTGTTAATTTGCTCAAGCAATGAAACCACATCTGGTACAGCCGCTGCAATTGCAGTCACCACCTGGCTAAGCTTACAATAATCCACTGCCATTCTCAAAGATCCATCTTTCTTCTGTTCAGGCCAAATTGACATGTTTAATAGAATGTGATGAGAATCACCACCTTTGAATCTTTCAAGGTTGCACTGATCTCTGCAATCCTTCCAAGAATGTGGTACTGCTTGTGGTTTACTAGTTCCCTAGGTAGAGGCAGTTCTAGTGGCTTCCACTTGGCCTTTCCCACCATAATAGCCCTCACTCCATGTCAAGGAACAAACTTAGGGAGTCTACCAGCAGCTGAATCTATCTATTTGCAATTATGCATTCCAAAAATAGGGAAATAGCCACAGGGACCCACTAGGCCTGCTGTGAGATGGACCTGAGCTAAAACTCCATTGATTATCTCATCTCCATAAGCCCCTACTCTGAACTAATGAACTAAAGGGATGTTTTGTGTTTCTTGGAATTAGTTCAGAGCTTGTGTCTAGTAGTCCCTGAAAGGTCTGATTATTTTCCCCCAATATATCATTACCTTGGTAAAAGTCCCGATAGGCCCCTTTAGAAAAGGTTTGGAGAAAAATAAACAGTATCAATTTTTGATAGTGTACTGGGGTCCTTTTATAAGGGGACTTTGCCTTTTCTTCATTCAAGGGTACAATAGCTCAAATCTGGGAATTGATTGAGGGACTGTGACATCCTGTTTTTATAATTTAGGTGAGACTTTTTATTCATTTGACCTGGCTTATACAAATTAAACAAAAATTTAATAGACTTCCTATCAATTTCACTTATAGAAACACCAGAATCAATTAGCCAATTCCATAAGTCTGTGTGAGCCAGAACATCCTGATTGCTGCTTTAACTCTGCTGTCCTCTCTAGTAACCACAGCCAAATTGCTTTTGGAGGATGAGTGCTGCTACTTAGCTACCTCTATCCTGGGATCCAGTTACACCTACTGCCTTTAGGTCAGTACTGCAGTCCCCACTCTAACATCTGGCCTACAAAAAGTAATAATCACAGAACTCTTCAAGGATGCTGGGGATCCCCTTCACAAATTTACTTTTCACAGTAGTGGTAATAGGTATGACTTTGGGACCCTCCCAGTGTAAGTGAGTAGGTCTTAAATGACAAATCTACTCTAATAATTCAATCTCCCTAAGCTTTTTAATCCCTTCCAGTAAATTAAACTAAGGCAGGTCCAGTGTTTCTAATTATTTCATTGTCCATGTTTCATGTCATGTTGGTCCATGTTTCAGTCAATCACCCAAGAAAACTGTTACAGCCCTCATTAACTCCCCCAGATACAACGTTAAATGCAAAA
The DNA here is from genome assembly GCF_000001405.40 of Homo sapiens. NCBI lineage: Eukaryota > Metazoa > Chordata > Mammalia > Primates > Hominidae > Homo > Homo sapiens. The sequence continues at coordinate 111,172,677 of NC_000004.12, read as the reverse complement.
GCTCTGGTTAGTGAGCCTTTATCAGTAAATTTGTCTTGATCCAACTCTATGTTTCTTCCACCATTATTCCACACCCTCAACATTCATTTATACACATGTTCCCCAGATTTCTGTCTATATAAATTAGGAAACTTAAGTAGTTCTTTTGGAATGCAGCATACAAGCTCATGGGTCTCATATTAGACCTCACCTTTAGGGGCATGCTAAGACTTGGAATCTAGTTATAGGTCTGGAGGTAAAAAGGGGTGGTAGGGATGGGTCCTATGAAGAATAAGCATTATCTTTCCTGGCAAGTGCCTCAGGGCAGGTCATTACACTTACCTCAGGCTATGCAGGATTAATCCCTTCAGAAGGGTAGGAAGGTTGCTACTAGTGAGGTTGGGGAAGCTGCTACCACTAGGGATGGAGAGGTCACTTCTACCAGGGGTGGGAAGTCTGCTTCCACTGACAAAGAAGACTTGTCAGAATTTAGGGACTCAACATCCTCAGCTTCATCAGGGTATTCCCAGACCTCTCCATTCTATCTTACAGTATTTCATTTTTTCCCAATAAATGCCTTCACTTTAACAGTACGCACACCCTTGAAGCTGAGAGTTAACTTGTGTCATAATTCAGCCAGTCCCAAGATGAGATTCTGCATTTGATTTCTTGCAATCTCATCCTTGTGGCTATAGGAGATAAGAACCTCATTCAGGGAACACATAGAAGCTTTCAAGTCCTTCATGGAATGCTTAAGCTGGGAATTCGAATCCCTAAGCTCATTCTTTTCTCTCACCACTTTTTCCAGAGACATTAAAAGCAGCCTGCCAACCTCATTATATTTGTTACTTTTCTAAAAATGTTCAGAAATGTTATCTTCACAGTCACTCAGCTCCTTGCTTCTTATAAGTGGTTTATTAGGAGAATTTAATGGAGGTGTTTTGTGTATTTCTATTGACAGATTACACCATAGACTATCAGTTCTCTCTGTACAACTGGAAATAGAGTCATTAGCAACTTTAAATCCGTTCAGATTAGAGAGCCAATTCCAGAAGCCCTGGAACCAACTCTGAAAACTCATCTTTAACATTCTGTTTCTTTAGAACCACACTTGGTATTAAAAATCTGTATTAGTAAAGGTTCTTCAGAGAAACAGAAACAACAGGAGATAAATTGGATAGATAGATGATAGACAGATAGATATAGATAGATAGATGATAGATAGATTAGATAGAGATTAGATAGATAGATAATAGATACATAGACATATAGTGTTGTGAAAATATAAAATATATTCTATATATTTGACCTCAAAGTGAGCTGTGACCAGAGAACCAAGATAGCTGCTGCTGCTCTGAACACCCTTACACAGACACTTAGGAATGTTGACTAGGTTGTAGGGAAACCCAACAATCTCTTTAAGCAGAGAGTGAATAGGTTAACAAAGGAACCAGACTGCTTCACATGCCATCAGTGACTTTTTTCCTCCTTTTCCTCTCCTTTTTCTTTGCATGGTATAAAAGAATAGATGGGCATGCATTGCAAATGTGATCTATCTCATCTTGCTCTGCCCAAGACCGCCTCATATGTAATTTTCCCCTGAATAAATTTTTGACTACCTACCAACCTAGAGTATTCTGCCTCTTGCTTTGGTCTGAGATCGCCCTCTGCTTAAAGAGGGTCATTCTTGGAGCTGGAAGGGAATTTTCACAACAAATACGTAGCTATACATAAAATTCATTATAAGGAATTGACACATGTGATTATGAAGGCTGAGAAGTCACAAGATCTACAGTTAGCAAGGTGGAGACCCCAGAGAGTTGATGATGTAGTTTCAGTCTCGATCCCAAAAGACTGAGGATCAGGAGAGCCATGGATGTTTATGATAGATTTATTCATAATTGCCAAAACTTGGAAGCAGCCAAGATATTCTTCAGTAGCTTAATGGATAAACTGTGGTAAATCTAGGCAATGAAATATTATCCAGTGCTATAAAGAAATGAGCTATCAAACCATAAAAAGACATGGAGGAACATTAAATGCATACCACTAATGAAACAAAGTCAATCCAGAAGACTATGTACTGTATGATTTCAACTATATGACATTCTAGAAAAGGCAAATCTTTCAAGTTACTAAAAGATCAGTGGATGCCAGAGGTTAGAGGAAGGGAAGATTGAACAGGTGAACCACAGAGCATATTTAGGGCAGTGAAATTACTGTGTATATTATAAATATGGATGTATGTCATTATACATTTATAAAAGCCATATAATATACACAAAGAGAACCTTATTAGAAAATATGGATTTTAGGTGATAAAGACGTGTCACTATAGTTTCATTGATGTAACAAATGAATCACTGTTGCAGGATGTTGATAGGCAGTGTGCATGTTGTGGGAGGAAGCATATGGGAAATCTCTGTACTTACCACCCACTTTTGCTGTGAACCTAAAACTGATCCAAAGAAGAAAGACTATGTTTTAAAATAAAATAACTTGGGGTACGATACAACATTTTTTTATATATACTTTAAGTTCTGGGATACATGGGCAGAATGTGCAGGTTTGTTACGTAGATATACATATGCCATGGTGGTTTGCTGCGCCCATCAACTCGCCATCTACGTTAGGTATTTCTCCTAATGTTATCCCTCCCCTTGCCCCCAACCCCCAACAGGCCTCAGTGTGTGATGTTCCCTGTGTCCATGTGTTCTCATTGTTCAATTCCCACTTACGAGTGAGAACATGCTGTGTTTGGTTTTCTGTTCCTGTGTTAGTTTGCTGAGAATGATGGTTGCCAGCCTCATCTATGCCCCTGCAAAGGACATGAACTCATCCTTTTTTATGGATGCATAGTATTCCATTGTGTATATGTGCCATGTTTTCTTCATCCAGTTTATCATTGATGGGCATTTGGGTTGGTTCCAAGTCTATGCTCTTGCAAATAGTGCTGCAATAAACATATGTGTGCATGTGTCTTTATAGCAGAATGATTTATACTTTGGGAATATACCCAGTAATGGATTGCTGGGTCAAATGGTATTTCTGCTTCTAGATCCTTCAGGAATCGCCACATTGTCTTCCACAATGGTTGAACTAATTTTCACTCCCACCAACAGTGTAAAAGCATTTCTATTTCTCCACATCCTCTCCAGCATCTGTTTCCTGACGTTTTAATGATTGCCATTCTAACTGGTATGAGAAGGTATCTCATTGTGGTTTTGATTTGCATTTCTCTAATGACCGGTGATGATGAGCTTTTTTTTCATATGTTTGTTGACAGCATAAATGTCTTCTTTTGAGAAGTATCTGTTCATATCCTCTGCTCACTTTTTGATGGGGTTGTTTGATTTTTCTTATAAATCTGTTTAAGTTCTTTGTATAATCTGGATATTAGCCCTTTGTTGAATGGATAGATTGCAAAAATTTTGTCCCATTCTGTAGGTTGCCTGTTCACTCTGATGATAGTTTCTTTTGCTGTGCAGAAGCTCTTTAGTTTAATTAGATCCCATTTGTCAATTTTGGCTTTTGTTGCAATTGCTTTTGGTGTTTTAGTCATGAAGTCTTTGCCTATGTCTATGCCCTGAATGGTATTGCCTAGGTTTTCTTCTAGGGTTTTTATGGTTTTAGGTCTCACATTTAGGTCCTTATTCATCTTGAGTTAATCTTTGTATAAGGTGTAAGGAAGAGGTCCAGTTTCAGTTTTCTGCATATGGCTAGCCAGTTTTCCCAACACCATTTATTAAATAGGGAATCCTTTCCCCATTGCTTGTTTTTGTCAAGTTTGTCAAAGATCAGATGGTTGTAGATATGTAGTTTTATTTCTGAGAACTCTGTTCTGTTCCATTGGTCTATATATCTGTTTTGGTACCAGTACCACGTTGTTTTGGTTACTGTAGCCTGGTACTATAGTTTGAAGTCAGCAAGTGTGATGCCTCCAGCTTTGTTCTTTTTGCTTAGGATTTTCTTGGCTATACGGGCTCTTTTTTGCTTCCATATAAAATTTAAAGTAGTTTTTTTTCTAATTTTGTGGAGAAAGTCAATGGTAGCTTAATGGGGATAGCATTGAAGCTATAAATTACTTTGGACAGTATGGCCATATTCATGATATTCTTTCTTCCTATCCATGAGCATGGAATGTTTTTCCCTTTGTTGTGTCCTCTTATTTCCTTGAGCAGTGGTTTGTAATTCTCCTTGAAGAGGTCCTTCACATCCCTTGTAAGTTGTATTCCTAGGTATTTTATTCTCTTTGTAGCAATTGTGAATCAGAGTTCATTCATGATTTGACTCTGTATTTGTGTATTATTGTTGTCTAGGAATGCTTGTGATTTTTGAAAATTGATTTTGTATCCTGAGACATTGCTGAAGGTGCTTATCACCTTAAGGAGTTTTTGGGCTAAGACAATGGGGTTTTCTAAATATGCAATCATGTTATCTACAAATAGAGACAATTTGACTTCCTCTCTTCCTATTTGAATACTCTTTATTTCTTTCTCTTGCCTGATTGACCTGACCAGAACTTCCAATACTATGTTGAATAGGAGTGGTGAGGCAGGGCAACCTTGTCTTGTGCCGGTTTTCAAAGGGAATGCTTCCAGTTTTTGCCCATTCAGTATGATATTGGCTGTGGGTTTGTCATAAATAGCTGTTATTATTTTGAGATACGTTCCATCAATACCTAGTTTATTGAGAGTTTTTAGCATGAAGGGGTGTTGAATTTTATTGAAGGCCTTTTCTGCATCTATTGAGATAATATGTGGTTTTTGTCTTTGGTTCTGTTCATGTGATGGATTACATTTACTGATTTGTGTATGTTGAACCAGCCTTGCATCCCAGGGATGAAGTCGACTTGATTGTGGTGGGTAAGCTTTTGAATGTGCTGCTGGATTCAGTTTGCCAGTATTTTATTGAGGATTTTTGCATGTATGTTCATCAGGGATATTGGCCTGAAATGTTCCTTTTTTTTGTTGTGTCTCTGTCAGGTTTTGGTATAAGAATAATGCTGGCCTCATAAAATGAGTTAGGGAGGAGCCCCTTTTTTTTCTATTGTTTGGAATAGTTTCATAAAAATGGTACCAGCTCCTCTTTGTACCTCTGGTAGAATTTGGCTGTAAACCTGTCTGGTCCCAGGCATTTTTTGGTTGGTAGGCTATTAATTACTGCCTCAATTTCATAACTTGTTATTGGTCTATTCAGGGATTCAACTTCTTCCTGGTTTACTCTTGGGAGGGTATTTTTGTCCAGGAAATTATCCATTTCTTCTAGATTTTCTAGTTTATTTGCGTAGAGGTGTTTATAGTATTCTCTTACGGTAGTTTTTAGTTCTGTGGGATAAGTGGTGATATCCCCTTTATCATTTTTATTGCATCTATTTAATTCTTGTCTTTTCTTCTTTATTAGTCTGGTTAGTGGTCTATTTTGTTAATCTTTTCAAAAAATCAGCTCCTGGATTCATTGATTTTTTGAAGGTTTTTTTGTGTCTGTATCTCCTTTGTTCTGCTATGACCTTAGCTATTTCTTGTTTTCTGGTAGCTTTTGAATTTGTTTGCTCTTGCTTCTCTAGTTCTTTTAATTGTGATGTTAGGGTGCCGATTTTAAGTCTTTCCCATTTTCTCTTGTGGGCACTTAGTGCTATAAATTTCCCTCTTAACACTGCTTTAGCTGTGTCCCAGAGATTCTGGTATGTTGTGTCTTTGTTCTCGTTGGTTTCAAAGAACTTCTTGATTTCTGCCTTAATTTTGTTATTTTCCCAGTAGTCTTCAGGAGCAGGTTGTTCAGTTTTCATGTAGTTGTGTGGTTTTCAGTGAATTTCTTAATCCTGAGTTCTAATTTGATTGCACTGTGGTCTGAGAGACTGTTATGATTTCCATTCTTCTGCATTTGCTGAGAAGTGTTTTACTCCAATTATGTGATCAATTTTAGAACAAGTGCTATGTGGTGCTGAGAAGAATGTATATTCTGTTGATTTGGGTGGAGAGTTCTGTAGATGTCTATTAGGTCTGCTTGGTCCAGAGTTGAGTTCAAGTCCTGAATATCCTTGTTAATTTTCTGTTTCGTTGATCTGTCTAATACTGACGGTGGGGTGTTAAGTCTCCCACTATTATTGTGTGGGAGTCTAAGTCTCCTTGTAGGTCTCTAAGGACTTGCTTTATGTATCTGGGTGCTTCTGTATTTGATGCATATGTATTTGGGATAGTTAGCTCTTCCTGTTGCATTGATCCCTTTACTGTTATGTAATGTGCTTCTTTGTCTTTTTTGATCTTTGTTGGTTTAAAGTCTGTTTAGTCAGAGACTAGGATTGCATCCCCTACTTTTTTTTGCTGTCCATTTGCTTTGTAAGTATTCCCCCATCCCTTTATTTTGAGCTTATGTGTGTCTTTGCACATGAGATGTGTCTCCTGAATATAGCACACCAATGGGTCTTGACTCTTTATCCAATTTGCCAGTCTGTGTCTTTTAATTGGGGCATTTAGCCCATTTATATTTATGGTTACTATTGTTATGTGTTAATTTGATCCTGTCATTATGATGCTAGCTGGTTATTTTGCTCATTAGTTGATGCAGTTTCTTCATAGTGTTGATGGTCTTTACAATTTGGTATGCTTTTGCAGTTGCTAGTACCGGTTGTTCCTTTCCATGTTTAGTGCTTCCTTCAGGAACTCTTGTAAGGCGGGCCTGGTGGAGATTTTGTCAGCAGCATTTGCTTGTCTGTAAAGGATTTTATTTTTCCTTTGCTTATGAAGCTTAGTTTGGCTGGATATGAAATTCTGGGTTGAAAATTCTTTTCTTTAAGAATGTTGAATATTGGCCACCACTCTCTTCTGGCTTGTAGGGTTTCTGCAAAGAGATCAGCTGTTAGTCTGATGGTCTTCCCTTTGTGGGTAACCTGACCCTTCTCTCTGGCTTATAGTATTTTCTGATGGTAGTTTATATCTCTGTGGAATCAGTGGTGAATCTGACGATTATGAATCTTGGAGTTGCTCTTCTCAAGGAGTATCTTTGTGGTGTTTTCTGTATTTTCTGAATTTGAATGTTGGCCTGGTTTGCTAGGTTGGGGAAGTTCTCCTGGATAACAATCATGATGTGTGTTTTCCAACTTGGTTCTATTCTCCCCATCACTTTCAGGTACACCAATCAAACGTAGGTTTGGTATTTTTACATAGTCCCGTATTTCTTGGAGGCTTTGTTCATTCCTTTTCATTCTTTTTTCTCCATTCTTTTCTTCAGGCTTTATTTCAATACTTTGAATTTCAATCTCTTATATCCTTTCTTCTGCTTCATTGATTTGGCTATTGATACTTGTGTATGCTTCGCAAAGTTCTTGTGCTGTGTTTTTCAACTCCGTCAGGTCATTTATGTTCTTCTCTAAACTGGTTGTTCTAGTTAGCAGTTCCTATAACCTTTTATCAAGGTTCTTAGCTTCCTTGTATTGGGTTAGAAAGTGCTCCTTTAGTTCAGAGGAGTTTGTTATTACCCTCCTTCTGAAGCCTACTTCTGTCAGTTCATCAGACTCATTCTCTGTCCAGTTTTGTTCCCTTGCTGGCAAGGAGTTGTGATTCTTTGGAGGAGGAGAGGCATTCTGTGTTTTTGAATTCTCAGCCTTTTTGTGCTGGTTTTTCCTCATATTCATGGATTTGTCTACCTTTGTTCTTTGATGTTGTTGACCTTTGGATGGAGTTTTTGGGTGGGCATCCTTTTTGTTGATGTTGAAAGCTATTGCTTTCTGTTTGTTAGTTTTCCTTGTAACAGTCAGGCTCCTCCTCTGTAGGTCTGCTGGAGTTTGCTGAAGGTCCACTCCAGACCCTGTTTGCCTGGTTATCACCAGCGGAGGCTGCAGAACAGCAAAAATTCCTGCCTGCTCCTTGCTCCGGCAGCTTCATCCCAGAGGGGCACCTGCCAGATGCCAGCCACAGCTCTGCTGTATAAGGTGTCTATCGCCCCCTGCTGGAAGTTGTCTCCCAGTCAGGAGGCACGGGGGGTCAGGGACCCACTTGAGGAGGCAGTCTGTCCCTTAGCAGTGCTCAAGCACTGTGCTGGGAGATCTGCTGCTCTCTTCAGAGCTGGCAGGCAAGAACATTTAAGTCTGCTGAAGCTGCACCCACAGCTGTCTCTTCCCCCAGGTGCTCTGTCCCAGGGAGATGGGACTTTTATCTATAAGCCCCTGACTGGGGCTGCTGCCTTTCTTTCAGGGATGCCTTGCCCAGAGAGGAGGAATCTAGAGAGGCAGTCTGGCTACAGTGGCTTTGCCACACTGCAGTGGGTTCAGCACCCATTTCGAACTTCCCAATGGCTTTGTTTACACCATGAGGGCAAAACCACCTATTCAAGCCTCTGTAATGGCAGACGTCCCTCCCTGAACCAAGTTTGAGCATCCCAGGTCGACTTCAGACTGCTCTGCTGGCAGCAAGAATTTCAAGCCAGTGGATCTTAGCTTGCTGAGCTCCATGGGGGTGAGATCCGCTGAGCAAGACCACTCCACTCACTGGCTTCAGCCCCCTTTCCAGGGGAATGAATGGTTCTGTCTCGCTGGTGTTCCAGGCACCACTGGGGTATGAAACAAACTCCTGCAGCTAGCTCAGTGTCTGCCCAAACAGCTGCCTAGTTTTGTGCATGAAACCCAGGGCCCTGGTGGTGTAGGCACCCAAGGGAATCTCCTGGTCTGTGGTTTGTGAAGACTGTGGGAAAAGCATAGTATCTGGGCTGGAATGGACCATTGCTCATGGTACAGTCCCTCATGGCTTCCCCTAGCTAGCGGAGGGAGTTCCCTGACCCCTTGTGCTTCCCGGGTGAGGGACACTCCTCCCTACTTCCGCTCTCCCTCCATGGGATACACCCACCATCTAACAAATCCCAATGAGATGAACCAGGTATCTCAGTTGGAGATGCAGAAATTACCCACCTTCTGCATTGGTCTTGCTGGGAGCTGCAGACTGGAGCTGTTCCTATTCGACCATCTTGCCAGCCCCCTCTATACAACTATTTTTAAATATTGATAAATGTGCTTTTAGTTTTCACTAGTTTTTTTTTCATTCTATAGTCTTAATCCCACTAAAGCTAGACTATGAAGCTGGAGCTTTCTATTTGGGTTAAAAATAACAATTGAAATTCAGGTCAGAATCAACAATAAACTTGGAGTATAAAGTTTATTTCATAAACAATAGATTTTTCAAATAATAAAAAATTATTTGTTTTTATTATTTATTTTTTAGAGACATGGTGTCACTCTGTTGCCCAGGCTGGAGTGCGGTAGTGTGATCATAGCTCACTGAAGCCTTTAATTATTGAGCTCAAGTGACTCTCCTGCCTCAGCTTTCTGAGTATCTTGGACTATAGGTGGATGTCACTACACCCTGTTAATTTTTTTATTTTTATTTTTTTATTTTTATTATAGACAAGGTCTTGCTCTGCTGACCAGGATGGTCTCGAATTCCTGACCTCAAGGGATCCTCCCGTCTCAGCCTCCCAAAGCACTGGGATTACAGGGATGAGCCACCATGCCCAACCAAGATTTTTTTTTTCTTTTTACCACTGTTGCATTAAAGCCTCTAGGTCAGGAAGTAAGAAAACTGACAGAGTATTAGATTAGAAACCAGTAAGGCTGACTGGAAAATGTGCCCATATCCTGATTACCCTTTTTAAAAGAATAATGTGGTTTGGAATGACATTAGAAATTCAAAATAGACTTGGATATCTGGATTAATGAAAACCAGCAATTGCTTCACCTCTGGGGACCTTTGAGGCAATATACCACATGGGAGAATTTGAGTAGAATTAGATGCATGAAGTGTAAGACAGTCAGCCCTGGAGCCAACTTGGAATATTCATTGGCTGTCTTATTATCACATAGGGGCAGGCAAGTGTTATCCAATGTGACTGGTAATAGTGCAGAATGTGTCCTTATAAATCATCAGATCTACAGTGAGGCTACAAGTAGAAGAAATTGTAGTGTCTAATGCTGACTCATATGGATGACCAGAACTCCAACAGAACCAAAGAAGCCTCCATGGATGTCAATGGGAAGGAAAAGACCATGGGGGTTGATATAGTTTGGAAGCTCCCTCCAAATCTCATGTTGAAATGTAATCCCCAGTGTTGGAGGTGGGGCCTAGTGGAAGGTGTTTGGGTCATGGGGGTGGATCATTCATGGCTTAATGCCATCCTCACAATAGTGAGTGAGTTCTCATGAGATCTGGTTGTTTAAAAGTGTATTGCACCTCCCCCCAACACTCTCTCTTGTTCTGGCTCTGTCCATGTGATGCGTCTGCACCTACATTGCCTTCTGCCATAAGTAAAAGCTCCCTGAGGCCTTCCCAGAAACTCAGCAGATGCCAGCACCATGCTGTACAGCTTGCAGAACCGTGAGCCAATTAAACCTTTTTTTTTCTTTTAATAAATTACCAAGATTCAGTTTTCTTTGTAGCAAGAACAACCTAATACGTGGGCCATATTGCTCTTCTCTCTTTATATACATCAGTGCCTTGACTTGTGTACATTTTCAGGAAATTCAATGCAGTATTGAACAAAACCTCAAACGGCAAGGATTACCTTAAATTGATTAAGACTAATTTTCTGCAGTGTTGTTCAAATGGGGGATTGAGATAGACATTTAAGCCCAATTTGAGAAAAATAAAAGTTTTAAAAACTTTTATTTTGTTTTTAACAGACAAATAATTGCACATATTTATGGGTACAGTGTGATGTTTCAGTACATGTATACATTGTATAATGATCAACTTAGGGTAATTAGCATATCCATCACCTCAAACACTTGTCATTTCTTTGTGGTGAGAACATTCAAAATCCTCTCTCCTAAGTATTTGAAATATATAATACATCGTTGTTAACTATAGTCATCATATTTTCTAAAAGAAAGTCAGAACTTATTCCTCCTAACTATAACTTTGTACCCATTAACCTTCTCTCCATTCCTTCTCCCATTTACCCTCCCTACACTCTGATAACTACTATTCTAATCTCTATTTCTGTGACATCAACATTTTTAGATTTCACATAAGAGTGAGATAATGCAGCATTTGTCCTTCTGTTCTTGGTTTATTTCAGTTAATATAATATCCTCCAGGTTCATCCATATTGTTGCAAATGACCAAATTTTATTCTTTTATGGCTGAATAGTATTCCATTGTATATATGGAATACTATACTAATATAAAATATTAAAAATAGAATTACTATGTGATCCCACAATCCCACTACTGGGTATATATTAAAAGGAAATGAAATCAGTATGTCAACTCTCATTTTTATTGCCACAGTTTTTTCAATAGCCAAGATATGAAATCAACCTATCAGTCAATCAAACTCTAACTTTGTACCCATTGACCTTCTCTCCATTCCTCCACATTTTTTAATCCATTTACTTGTTGATGGACACTTAGGTTGATTTCATATCTTGGCTACTGAAAATACTGTGGCAACAAAAATAAGAGTGGAGATATCTTTTTGGACATACTGATTTCATTTCCTTTGAATATATACCCAGTTGTGGGATTGTCGGATCACATAGTAATTCTATTTTTAATATTTTAAAGAACATTCATACTGTTGTTCATAATGGCTGTACCAATTTACATTTCCACACACTGTGTATAAGAGTTCTTCTTCCTCCACATAATCACCAGCATTTGTTATTTTTGTCTCTTTGATAATAGTCATTCTAATTGGGGTGAAGTGCTAGCTCCTTGTGATTGTGATCTGCATTTTCATAATAATTACTAATGTTGTGCTTTTTTTCATATGCCTGTATGTTCTGTGTGTTTTCTTTTGAAATATGTCTATTCAGTTTTTTTTGCCCATTTTAAATCAGGTCAGATACAGACATCTGATATATATCTATATCTGATATAAGAAACTCAAACAACTCAATGTGAGTTCAATGTGAGTTCAAATATAAATTCACATATGTAAATCAGATATATGTATATCAGATATGTATATGTGTTATATATGTATATAACACACATTGAGTTGTTTGAGTTTCTTATATATTCTGGACATTAACCCTTTGCCAGATGTATAGCTGGTAAATATTTTCTCCCATTCTGTGGGTTGTATCTCTGTTCCTTCTATACCTAATCAATTCAGTTGATTGTTTCCTTTGCTGTGTAGAAACTTTTTAGTTTAATAAAATTCCATTTGTTTATATTTGCTTTTGTTGCCTGTGCTTTTTAGGTTTTATTTAAAAAAATCCTTGCCTAGACCAATGTCACAAAGGGTTTTTCCTGTTTTCTTCTATTTGATTCATAGTTTTGGGTCTTACATGTAAGTTTTTAATCTATTTTGAGTTGAGTTGATTTTTGTAAGTGTTGAGAGATAGGGGTCTAGTTTGATTCCTATGCATGTGGATATTTTGTTTTCTCAAGACCATTTATTGAAGAGGCCATCTTTTCTCCAAAGTGTGTTCTTGTTACTTTTGTTAAAAATCAGTTGACTGTAAATGTGTAGATTTATTTCTGAGTTCTCTACTCTGTTCCATTGCTCTATGAGTCTGTTTTCATGCCAGTATCATGCTTTTTGCTTTTTATTACTTTATAATATATTTTGAAGTCATGTAATATGGTACTTCCAGCTTTGTCCTTTTTTTATTAAGATTGCTTTGGATATCTTGGGTCATCTGTGGTTCCATACAATTTTTTAAATTATTTCTTCTATTTCTGTAAAAAACATAGTGATTGGTATTTTGATAGGGATTGCATTGAATCTATATATCACTTTAGGTAGTGTGGACACTTTGACAATATTAATTCTTCCAATCTGTGAATACATGATATTTTCCTAGGTGTTTGTGTCCTCTTTGATTTCTTTCATCAATGTTTTATAGTTTTACTGTAGAGATCTTTTATCTCCTTAGTTACATTTGTTCCTATGTGTTTTTTTGTAGCTACTGTAAGTAGAATTGTTTCTTGATTTCTTTTTCGGATAGTTCACCATTGGCATATAGAAACACTACTGATTTTTGTCTGTTGATTTTGTATCCTATAACATTACTAAATTTGTTTATTAGTTCTAACAGATTTTTATGGAATCTATAGGGCTTTCTATATTTAATATTATTTCACCTGCATATAGGGCCAATCTGAATTCTTCATTTCCAATGTGAATGCCCTTTCTTTCTCTTGCCTAATTGCTCCGACTAGAACTTCCAGTACTATTGTGCATGGGAGTTGTAAAAGTGGACATCCTTGTTTAGTTCTAGATTTTAGATTAAAAAGCTTTCAACTTTTCCCTATTTACTATGATGATATCTGTGGGTTTGTAATATATGGCTTTTATTGTGTTGATGTATGTTCTTTCTATACCTAATTTCCTTAGAATTTTTATCATGAAGGGATGTTGAATTTTATCAAATGTTTTTCTATGTCTATTTATATTATCATATGGGTTTTCTCCTTAATTCTGTTTATGTTGATGTCACATTTATTGATTTGCATATGTTGAATCATCCTTGAATCCCTGGGATGAATCCCATTTTGTCATGGTCAATGATGTTTTTCATGTGCTGTTAGATTCAATTTGCTAGTACTTTGCTGCCAACTTTTGCATCTATTTACCAAGAACATTGGTCTATAGCTTTCTTTTTTGTCTGATTTTTGTATCAGGGTAATACTAACCTCATAGAATCAGTTTGGAAGAATTTCTTCCTCTTTATTTTTTGGAATAATTTGAGAATTGGCATTAGTGCTTCTTTAAATGTTTTCATAATTCAATAGTAAAGACATTGGGTCCTGGCCTTTTCTTTGATAGGAAACTTTTTATTACAGATTCAAGCTCATTATTCACTATTGGTCTGTTAAGGTTTTCTATTTGTTCATAATTCAGTCATGGAGCTTGCATGTGTTCAGGAATTTATCCATTTCTTCTAAGTTTTCCAATTTGTTGGTGTATACTTGTTCATAACAGTCTCTCGTAATCCTTTGTATTCTGTGGTATTAGTTTTGATGCCTTTTTTCGTTTCTGATTTTATTTATATAATTTTCTTTCTGTTTTATTGGTCTAGCTAAAGGTTTGCTAATTTTGTCTTTTAAAAAACTCATTTTGTTGATGTTTTGTATTTTTTTAGTCTCCATTTTATTTCTGCTCTGATTGTTACTGTTTCTTTTTTCTACTAACTTTGGGTTTAGTTTGTTCTTGTTTTTCTAGTTTCTTGAGGTGCAATGTTAGGTTGCTTACTTGAGATCTTCCTACTCTTTTGATGTAAGAATTTATTGCTGTAAAATTCCCTCTTAAAACTGCTTTTGTTGTATTTCTTAGGTATTGGTATGTTGTGTTTTCATTTTCATTTGTCTCAAGAGGTTTTTTAAAGTTCCATTTTAATTTTTTCATTGGCCTTTTTGTTTTTCAGAAGCATATTGTTTAATTTCCATACATTTATGTGGTCTCCAAAGTTCTTCCTGATAGTGATTTCTAGTTTTATTCCCTTGTGGTCATAAATGATACTTTTGTGATTTTGATTTTTAAATTATTTTTTAAATTTAAGACTTGTTTTGTGGCCTAATATATAATCTGTCCTGGGGGATTTTCCATGTGCTGTTGAAAAGAACCAGTATTCCATGGCTGTTGGATAGAATGTTCTACAAATATCTGTTAGGTTCATTTGGTCTAGGTCTAGAATGTGGTTTAGCTCTGATGTTTTGGTTGATTTTATGTTTGGATGATGTGTCCATTGCTGAAACAAGGGAATTGAAGTTTCCTACTATTATTGTATTGCAGTCTATTTCTTCCCTTAGCTCTATTAATATTAGCCCTATGTATTTAAGTCCTCCAGTACTAGGTGCGTATATATTTGTAATTGCTATATCCTCTTGTTACCTTGACTTCTGTATCATTATATAACAACCTTCCTTGTCTCTTTTCAGTTTTTGGCTTAAAGTCTATTTTATCTGATACAAGTCTAGTTACTCTTGTTTTTTTTTTTTTCTTGTTTCCATTTGCATGAAATATCTTTTTTCATCCTCCACTTTCAGTCTGTGGGTGTTCTCACAGCTGAAGTGAGTCTCTTATAGGCAGCAATTTGTTAGTCCTTGGTTTTTAATCCATTCAGTCACTCTCTCTATGTATTTTGATTGGAAAATTTAATCCACTTATATTCAAGGTAATTATTGATAAGCAGGGACTTACAACTGCCTTTTTGTTTCTTGTCTTCTAGTTGTTTTGCAGATTCTTTGTTCCTCTCTCATAATCTTCCTTTGTAGTTAAGTGATTTTCTTTAGTAGTATGTTCTATTCCTTGCTTTTTATTTTCAACGTATCTAAATAGATTTTTGCTTTGTGTTTACCACGAGGTTAACCAAAAAACCCCTATAGATATAACAAGTTATTTTAAACTGATAACAACTTAATTTTGATCACAAAGAAAGGAAAAAAAAAAAACAAAAAATACCCCGTACACTTTAAATCTATTTTTCCCTACATGCTGAATTGTTGATGTCATAATTTGTAGTTTTATATTACCTATCTCTTAAAAAATTATTGTAATTACTATTGTTTAAATATTTCATCTTTTATTCTTTTTCCCAAACAATAAAGTTTTTGCATGACTGAGTTTGTGACATGAGATTTGTGTCCACTGTGATTCCAATAGGTGCAAACCATTGAAGCCATTTACCAGGATTGGAAAGCCTAAACTTAAGGACTGTGAAACACTAACAACTTGGAGATAAGTGTAATAATGAGAAATTGAAAAATATTTTAATTATAAATTATGCAGTGCTGGAAGATACATAAGAGGACAGTGAAACACTTAACAACTTGGAGATAAGCACAATAATCAGAAATGGAAAATATCCTAATCATAAATTATGCAGTGCTGGAATACATAGAATTAGAGAGACTCTATAAGATATCTTTATAAGAATGAAGTAAGATAATAGAGAAAGAGATTATGTGTTGCTAAAAACAATGCAGGAAACTTGAGGCTAAATGCCAATGGGAGGAGATCAAGAACAGTGCCACTCCAGACGTATATTGAATCAGGGTTGATGATAGTTAGGCTATGGATATAAGTGTTTGTAACCAAGGAGTGATCTAGAATAATTGTGAGAACACAGAGAAAACACAGTGGAACAGTACTAGCCCATCCAGGCAATCTGACAATAAAAGTACTGCTAGAGAGACTTCCTATTTCAGCTCCACATGTAAAAATCTTGATATTCATCACTCCTGGGCACAAGAAAGAAAATGCTGTAAAAAATGAAAATCAATGAGTTTTCTTGGTCCCATTAGACAGATGACATCATAGGAAATCTAGAGAAACAAGTAAATCCAAAGAGTTGCATCTGAGATGTGCTTAGCTAGAGGAGAAGCAGTAGAACCATGAGCAGGTAGAAATACTTAAATGGTAACTTTGATGAATTGCTGGAGGTTGAGTACAGACTAGCATGAGAGAAAACCTTCTGAAGGCTGTAATATTAAGAAGTCTTGTGAAGCAGATTCACCATGTAGTGGTTACCCACTTCTCTGAGTCCAGTGAGATAGAACACACACATACATACACACACACACACACACACACACACACACACATGCTACAAGTTATGTAAGGTGAGTTTATTACTTATAGGCAGAAAGGAATGAAAGAAGCCTACAATCCATTATGAGTCAGGGCTTAAGAAAGCCCAAGGCTCAAGACAGCTGCTTAGGGCAGATGCTGTCCTGGCTAAGCATGCCCCACTTGGACCACAGCTGAGGGACTCCAAAAGTCAGCCCACCTGAGTTATATACCTCAGGGTCTATGCAACTCACTGGGAAAAGCTTTGGAGGACATCCTGCTTCCAGGGAAGAGAGGAACAAAGTTCCACTCTATCTCAAGATGTTACATTCCCTAGAAGGGAATGGAACAAAGCCCAGGCTGTTTCAAGCAGTCCCTTCCTGTCTTAGGATATTGCATTACCAGCACGTTCCATGGTTATTCTTGAAAACTACAAGCAAGGAAGGGAAGGAAAACTGGGTAAATCCAAGGCCACCCAGGGAACTGTTCTACATATTCCTGTACTTGTATGGGTTTTGCCTCTAGGAACACCACTAGGTTTTCATGGTGAAGAGCCTTGGACATTCTTTTCCTTGCTCTAGACTTCTTGTCTCACCAAATGGGGACAGGAGAAGGGAAGTAAAGAAACACTTATGTATGTCACAACCCAGGGACACAGGCCCACTAAAAAATGGAAACAACATTTTAAGATTATAGTATTTCCCTCCACTATACCTTATAACCACACCAACAGGGTTCCAGTATATTAACAGTGAATTATTGCTGAAAGACATAAAAGAACCAGACTCTGACTAGAAAAGAGTTCTTAGGTAAGCTCAATGACAACAGGGGAGACAAGAACAAGTATACTAGAGGAATTTGAAACCTCTAGTACAAAAACATTAAACACAGCAAACATTAAACAGAGCCAAACTCCTAGCCAGATTAATATAAATCTTCATGCTAAACTCCTCTTGATGGCAGCAGCAGTCCTTCTGGAGCAGCCACTGCCATGACGCTGGCTGCAGCAGGGGAGGCCTGGCCAGGGCTGCGCACTCCATGGAGCTGGCAGGAGTCGGGAACAGGCAGAATCCCTGCCCCTCTTCCAAGTTTTCGGGTGATAGCCCCGCCCCTCCCAGGCACAGCTGCAGCTGCCCAGCTGTGGCTGCTGGCCAGGCGTCTCTGCACTCTTGGGGACCTGGGAGGCCCCCTCTGCCACTACAGGTTCAAAAATGCCTGCTCCCACTGCCTGCCCTCTCCCTGTTTCTGGCACATACTCTGATCTCAGAGCTAAGTTGAGGCCAAGCCTGGATGCTGTCACAACCCGGCAAGCTGTGTATATGCTCAGGGCAGTGTTGACACACCAGCCCCCTGCCCCATCAGCCCCCTCCAGATTTTGGGCACTGACTAGCATGGGAGGGAGGCCAAGGGGGATCCTGATGGCAGCTCGGCTTGGAGGTGCCCCTGGTCACAAACAGCCTGGACACTGTGTGTGACAGCAGGAGGCAGACTGGCTCCTAGGCAGAAAGGGGCAGGTCCCCAGTGAAGGCCCACCTTCAAACCAGGGGCAGCCTGAAGCCTGGAGGCCAGGCTGATGGACCAGAATTGAACTTATGATATTTTTTCCAGGCCTGCCCATGGCCCCCCATGAACCAATCAGCATGTACTTCCTTCCCTCTGAAGCCCATAAAAACCCCAGACTCAGTCAGACTCAAGCAGACATCAAGACTACCAGCTGCAGAGAGGAGCTACCACTCCAGGGTCTCCTCTCTACTGGGAGTTGGGCAGATATCAGAAGCACCAGCTATAGAGAGGAGCTAACAACTGCTCCCCTCTGCTCCTCTCTACTGAGAGCTGAACACTCACGGGGATGCCCTGCCTATGGAGAGACCCATTGCAGGTCTCCTTTGAGCTATTCTGTTGCTCAATAAAGCTCCTCTTCACTTTGCTCACCCTCCACTTGTTCACGTACCTCATTCTTCCAGGACACAGGACAAGACCTCAGGACCTGCTGAATGTTGGGACTGAAAGAGCTGTAACACAAACAGGACTGAAACACTCCCCTTGCTCACCATGTTGTGTGCAACAAGAAAGAGAGAAGAGAGAAGGAGAGAAGAACCATGGCCCTTTAGGGAGCACCCCGAGCCAGGGCTGTAACAGCCTCTTTGGGGATCTGAGGTTCCTGGGCACTTCCAAGCTTCTGAGCACCACCACATTTCCTGGTGCCAGCAGTGAATACTGCTTGCAGTATGCTTGGTCCAGCTGCAGCCTTTCAGGGAGCTGGCACCTGGAGCTGCCCACCCTGCTGCAGCCAGCATGCCTGGCTGTGCACGGTGGCCAGACCCCACAATGGCTCATTCACACAACCCTCTCATCTCTGCACCTGGCTCAACCTTGGCGGGCATGAGACTCAGGCTGGTAGTGCAATCCAAGTGCAGCCTGCCAGGCTGAGTGGGCAGAATAAACCCAGTGGGGCTGAGTAAAAACTCGGACAGAGGTGCCACTGGCCACAGAGATTTCTGCCTGGTGAAGTGACACCCCCAAGGATCCTGTGACACTTTTTCCTCAGTTCTTATCACCCAGTACAATATGTCTGGCTTTCAACAAAAAGCTACCACTTATACCAAAAAGTAATTACAAATACAGTCTGAAAAAATCAAGCAAACTTCAGAGCCAGAATCAAGCATAACACTGATTTGGATTTATATCAGACAGAGAATTTAAAACAACCAACATTAATATGTAAAGAACTCTAAAAAGTTGACAACATGCAAGAACAGATGGGTAATATAAGCAGACTATGGAAACTATAAGTAAAAATATTCATGACTTAGGATCTAGCAATGGATTCTTAGATTTGAACAAGAAAATAATAGATAAATTGGACTTTCTTAAAATTAAAAACTTTTATTTATCAAAAAAGTTTATCAAGAATCTGAAAAGGAACCTAGAGAATGGAGGAAAATTTTTCAAGTCATAAATTTGTTAAGAATTTAATACCAGAATATGAGGCTGGCAACAAAGATGGCCGAATAGGAACAGCTCCGGTCTACAGCTCCCAGTGTGAGCGCCGCAGAAGACGGGTGATTTCTGCATTTCCATCTGAGGTACCGGGTTCATCTCACTAGGGAGTGCCAGACAGTGGGCGCAGGACAGTAGGTGCAGCGCACTGTGCGCGAGCCGAAGCAGGGCGAGGCATTGCCTCACTCGGGAAGCACAAGGGGTCAGGGAGTTCCCTTTCCTAGTCAAAGAAAGGGGTGACAGACGGCACCTGGAAAATCGGGTCACTCCATCCTAATACTGCGCTTTTCTGACGGGCTTAAAAAACAGTGCACCAGGAGATTATATCCCGCACCTGGCTTGGAGGGTCCCATGCCCAAGGAGTCTCACTGATTGCTAGCACAGCAGTCTGAGATCAAACTGCAAGGCGGCAGCGAGGCTGGGGGAGGGGCGCTCGCCATTGCCCAGTCTTGCTTAGGTAAACAAAGCAGCTGGGAAGCTCGAACTGGGTGGAGCCCACCACAGCTAAAGGAGGCCTGCCTGCCTCTGTAGGCTCCACCTCTGGGGGCAGGGCACAGACAAACAAAAAGACAGCAGTAACCTCTGCAGACTTAAATGTCCCTGTCTGACAGCTTTGAAGAGAGCAGTGGTTCTCCCAGCACGCAGCTGGAGATCTGAGAACAGGCAGACTGCCTCCTCAAGTGGGTCCCTGACCCCTGACCCCTGAGCAGCCTAACTGGGAGCCACCCCCAAGTAGGGGCAAACTGACACCTCACACGGCCTGGTACTCCTCTGAGACAAAACTTCCAGAGGAACGATCAGACAGCAGCATTCACAGTTCATGAAAATCCGCTATTCTGCAGCCACCGCTGCTGGTACCCAGGCAAACAGGGTCTGGAGTGGACCTCTAGCAAACTCCAACAGACCTGCAGCTGAGGGTCCTGTCTGTTAGAAGGAAAACTAACAAACAGAAAGGACATCCACACCAAAAACCCATCTGTACATCACCATCATCAAAGACCAAAAGTAGATAAAACCACAAAGATGGGGAAAAAACAGAGCAGAAAAACTGGAAACTCTAAAAAGCAGAGCACCTCTCCTCCTCCAAAGGAACGCAGTTCCTCACCAGCAATGGAACAAAGCTGGATGGAGAATGACTTTGACGAGTTGAGAGAAGAAGGCTTCAGACAATCAAACTACTCCAAGCTACAGGAGGACATTCAAACCAAAGGCAAAGAAGTTAAAAACTTTGAAAAATATTTAGACGAATGTATAACTAGAATAACCATTACAGAAATACAGAGAAGTGCTTAAACGAGCTGATGGAGCTGAAAGCCAAGGCTCGAGAACCATGTGAAGAATGCAGAAGCCTCAGGATCCACTGCAATCAACTGGAAGAAAGGGTATCAGTGATGGAAGATCAAATGAATGAAATGAAGTGAGAAGGGAAGTTTAGAGAAAAAAGAATAAAAAGAAATGAACAAAGCCTCCAAGAAATATGGGACTATGTGAAAAGACCAAATCTGCATCTGATTGGTGTACCTGAAAGCGACGGGGAGAATGGAACCAAGTTGGAAAACACTCTGCAGGATATTATCCAGGAGAACTTACCCAATCTAGCAAGGCAGGCCAACATTCAGATTCAGGAAATACAGAGAACGCCACAAAGATACTCCTTGAGAAGAGCAACTCCAAGACATATAATTGTCAGATTCACCAAAGTTGAAATGAAGGAAAAAATGTTAAGGGCAGCCAGAGAGAAAGGTCGGGTTACCCACAAAGGGAAGCCCATGAGAGTAACAGCTGATCCCTCAGCAGAAACTCTACAAGCCAGAAGAGAGTGGGCACCAATATACAACATTCTTAAAGAAAAGAATTTTCAACCCAGAATTTCATATCCAGACAAACTAAGCTTCATAAGTGAAGGAGAAATAAAATGCTTTACAGACAAGCAAATGCTGAGAGATTTAGTCACCACCAGGCCTGCCCTACAAGAGCTCCTGAAGAAAGCACTAAACATGGAAAGGAACAACCGGTACCAGCCACTGCAAAATCATGCCAAATTGTAAAGACCATCCAGGCTAGGAAGAAACTGCATCAACCAATGAGCAAAATAACCAGATAACATCATAATGACAGGATCAAATTCACACATAACAATATTAACTTTAAATGTAAATGGACTAAATGCTCCAATTAAAAGACACAGACTGGCAAATTGGATAAAGAGTCAAGATCCATCAGTGTGCTGTATTCAGGAAACCCATCTGATGTATAGAGACACACAAAGGCTCAAAATAAAAAGATGGAGGAAGATCTACCAAGCAAATGGAAAACAAAAAAAGGCAGGGGTTGCAATCCTAGTCTCTGATAAAACAGACTTTAAACCAACAAAGATCAAAAGAGACAAGGCCATTACATAATGGTAAAGGGATCAATTCAACAAGAAGAACTAACTATCCTAAATATATATGCACCCAATACAGGAGCACCCAGATTCATAAAGCAAGTCCTTAGTGACCTACAAAGAGACTTAGACTCCCACACAGTAATAATGGGAGACTTTAACACCCCACTGTCAACATTAGACAGATCAACGAGACAGAAAGTTAACAAAGATATCCAGGAATTGAACTCAGCTCTGCACCAAGCAGACCTAATAGACATCTACAGAACTCCCTACCCCAAATCAACAGAATATACATTTTTTTCAGCACCACACCACACCTATTCCGAAATTGACCACATAGTTGGAAGTAAAGCTCTCCTCAGCAAATGTAAAAGAACAGAAATTATAACAAACTGTCTCTCAGACCACAGTGCAATCAAACTAGAACTCAGGATTAAGAAATTCACTCAAAACCGCTCAACTATATGGAAACTGAACAACCTGCTCCTGAATGACTACTGAGTACATAACGAAATGAAGGCAGAAATAAAGATGTTTTTTGAAACCATCGAGAACAAAGATACAACATACCGGAATCTCTGGGACACATTCAAAGCAGTGTGCAGAAGGAAATTTACAGCACTAAATGCCCACAAGAGAAAGCAGGAAAGATCCAAAATTGACACCCTAACATCACAATTAAAAGAACTAGAAAAACAAGAGCAAACACATTCAAAAGCTAGCAGAAGGCAAGAAATAACTAAAATCAGAGCAGAACTGAAGGAAATAGAGACATAAAAAACCCTTCAAAAAATTAATGAATCCAGGACCTAGTCTTTTGAAAGGATCAACAAAATTGATAGACCACTAGCAAGACTAATAAAGAAGAAAGGAGAGAAGAATCAAATACACGCAATAAAAAATGATAAAGGGGCTATCACCACCGATCCCACAGAAATACAAACTACCGTCAGAGAATACTACAAACACCTCTACGCAAATAAACTAGAAAATCTAGAAGAAATGGATAAATTCCTCGACACATACACCCTCCCAAGACTAAACCAGGAAGAAGTTGAATCTCTGAATAGACCAATAACAGGCTCTGACATTGTGGCAATAATCAATGGCTTACCAACCAAAAAGAGTCCAGGACCAGATGGATTCACAGCCGAATTCTACCAGAGGTACAAGGAGGAACTGGTACCATTCCTTCTGAAACTATTCCAATCAACAGAAAAAGAGAGAATCCTCCCTAACTCGTTTTATGAGGTCAGCATCATCCTGATACCAAAGCCAGGCAGAGACACAACCAAAAAAGAGAATTTTAGACCAATATCCTTGATGAACATTGATGCAAAAATCCTCAATAAAATACTGGCAATCCGAATCCAGCAGCACATCAAAAAGCTTATCCACCATGATCAAGTGGGCTTCATCCCTGGAATGCAAGGCTGGTTCAATATACACAAATCAATAAATGTAACCCAGCATATAAACAGAACCAAAGACAAAAACCACATGATTATCTCAATAGAAGCAGAAAAGGCCTTTGACAAAATTCAACAACGCTTCATGCTAAAAACTCTCAATAAATTAGGTATTGATGGGATATATCTCAAAATAATAAGAGCTATTTATGACAAACCCACAGCCAATATCATACTGAATGGGTAAAACTGGAAGCATTCCCTTTGAAAACTGGCACAAGACAGGGATGCCCTCTCTCACCACTCCTATTCAACATAGTGTTGGAAGTTCTGGCCAGTGCAATCAAGCAAGAGAAGGAAATAAAGGGTGTTCAATTAGGAAAAGAGGAAGTCAAATTGTCCCTGTTTGCAGATGACATGATTGTATATCTAGAAAACCCCATTGTCTCAGCCCAAAATCTCTTTAAGCAGATAGGCAACTTCAGCAAAATCTCAGGATGCAAAATCAATGTACAAAAATCACAAGCATTCTTATACACCAATAATAGACAAACAGAGAGCCAAATCATGAGTGAACTTCCATTCACAATTGCTTCAAAGAGAATAAAATACCTAAGAATCTAACTTACAAGGGACGTGAAGGACCTCTTCAAGGAGAACTACAAACCACTGCTCAAGGAAATAAGAGGACACAAACAAATGGAAGAACATTCCATGCTCATAGGTAGGAAGAATCAATATCATGAAAATGGCCATACTGCCCAAGGTAATTTATAGATTCAATGCCATCCCCATCAAGCTGCCAATGCCTTTCTTCACAGAATTGGAAAAAACTACTTTAAAGTTCATATGTAACCAAAAAAGAGCCCACATTGCCAAGTCAATCCTAAGCCAAAAGAACAAAGCTGGAGGCTTCACGCTACCTGACTTCAAACTATACTACAAGGCTACAGTAACCAAAACAGCATGGTACTGGTACCAAAACAGAGATACAGATCAATGGAACAGAACAGAGCCCTCAGAAATAACGCCACATATCTACAACTATCTGATCGTTGACAAACCTGAGAAAAACAAGCAATGGGGAAAGGATTCCCTATTTAACAACTGGTGCTGGGAAAACTGGCTAGCCATATGTAGAAAGCTGAAACTGGATCCCTTCCTTACACCTTATACAAAAATTAATTCAAGATGGTTAAAGACTTAAACATTAGACCTAAAACCATAAAAACCCTAGAAGAAAACCCAGGCATTACCATTCAGGACATAGGCATGGGCAAGGACTTCATATCTAAAACACCAAAAGCAATGGCAACAAAAGCCAAAATTGACAAATGGGACCTAATGAAACTAAAGAGCTTCTGCACAGCAAAAGAAACTACCATCAGAGTGAACAGGCAACCTACAAAATGAGAAAAAATCTTCGCAACCTACTCATCTGACAAAGGGCTAATATCCAGAATCTACAATGAACTCTAACAAATTTACAGGAAAAAAACAAACAACCCCATCAAAAAGTGGGCGAAGGACATGAACAGACACTTCTCAAAAGAAGACGTTTATGCAGCCAAAAAACACATGAAGAAATGCTCACCATCACTGGCCATCAGAGAAATGCAAGTCAAAACCACAATGAGATACCATCTCACACCAGTTAGAATGGCAATCATTAAAAAGTCAGGAAACAACAGGTGCTGGAGAGGATGTGGAGAAATAGGAACACTTTTACACCATTGGTGGGACTGTAAACTAGTTCAACCATTGTGGAAATCAGTGTGGCGATTCCTCAGGGATCTAGAACTAGAAATACCATTTGACCCAGCCATCTGATTACTGGTTATATACCCAAAGGAGTGTAAATCATGCTGCTATAAAGACACATGCTCACGTATGTTTATTGCGGCACTATTCACAATAGCAAAGACTTGGAACCAACCCAAATGTCCAACAATGATAGACTGGATTAAGAAAATGTGGCACATATACACCATGGAATACTATGCAGCCATAAAAAATGATGAGTTCATGTCCTTTGTAGGGACATGGATGAAATTGGAAATCATCATTTTCAGTACACTATCGCAAGGACAAAAAAACCAAACACCGCATGTTCTCACTCATAGGTGGGAATTGAACAATGAGAACACATGGACACAGGAAGGGGAACATCACACTCTGGGGACTGTTGTGGGGTGGGGGGAGGGGGGAGGGATAGCATTGGGAGATATACCTAATGCTAAATGACGAGTTAATGGGTGCAGGGCATCAGCATGGCACATGTATACATATGTAACTAACCTGCACATTGTGCACATGTACCCTAAAACTCAAAGTATAATAATAATAAAATAAAATAAAATAAAATGAAAGTCAGGAAACAAATGGGAATTTTTTTTTAAAAAAAGAAAAGAATTTAATACCAGAATATATAAAGAACTCTTGCTACCAAACAACAATAAGACCAACAACACAATTTAGAAATGGAAAAAGGATTTGAATTAGCATTTCTTGAAAAAAAAAGTACAAATGGCCAAAAAGCACATGAAAAGATGTTCAACATCATTGGCTATTAAAGAAATGCAAATTAAAACCACAGTGAACTGTCATTTCACATTCATTAGGATGGCTTTAATTTTAGAAAGTGGAAAATAGCAAGTATTGACAAGAATGTAGAGAAATAACACGTGTATATTGTTGGTAGGAATATAAAATGATGCAGCCACTGTTGAAACAGTTTGGTAGTACCTCAAAAATTTAGACATAGAATTACCATATGATCCAGCAATTTCATTCTTAGGTATATACTGAAGAGAAATGTAAACATATGTCCACACAGAAATTTGTAAATGAATGTTTACAGCAGTATTATTCATAATAGCCAAAAGGCAGAAACAACCAAAATGTCCATCAAAAGATGAATGGATAAACAAATTGTGTTATATGCATACAGTGGATTATCATTCAGCCATAAAAGGAATGAAGTACAGATACATGCTATAAATTGGATGAACCTCAAAAAATATTATACTAAGTGAAAGAAGCAGTAAGTTAATAATTACATATTCCATCATCACTTTTATATACTATATCTAGCATAGGCAAATCTATAAAGAGAGCAAAAAAGTTAGTGGTTATCAGGGAATGAGGGTAAGGTGAAACGAGGAGTGATTATTTAATGGCTATGGAGCATTTTCCCGTGGTGATGAAAATGTTTTGAAACTAGAGAGAGGTAGTGGTTGCACATTATAAATATATTTAATGTTACTAAATTGTACATTTTAAAATGATTAATTGTATGTTTTATAAGTTTTAGCTAAAAAAGAAAATGCTAGAAATAGAAAGCATGAAACAGAAATGAATAACACCTTTGATGGGTTTATCAGTAGACAGGACAAGTAATCTTCAAGAAAGAGCAGTAGAAACTTCCCAAACTGAAATGCAAGGGGAAAAAAGAAAGGATGGAAAAGAAAAGAAGACAGAATATCTAATTGAGACTATTTCAAAGATGTAATATACATACTCAGATAACATCAAATAGAAAAAAATACCAAAAAAACTGCACCTAGGCATATCACATTAAAAGTGCAGAAAACCAAAGACAAAGAGCACATCTTGAAATAAGCAGGAGGAGGAAAAGAAGATACCTTACATATAGAGAGACAAAAATAACAGGGAACTTCTCATTTAAAACCATGGAAGAAAGAAGATAGTGGAATTAAATATTTAAAGTACTGAAAGATAAACACCACCAATCTTGAATTCTATATCCAACGCATTTTCAAAAGTAAATGAGAAATAAAGAATTTCTCACACAAATAAGAACCAAAGAAATGTATTACCAGCAGACCAGCCTTGCAAAAAAAAATGTTAAAAATCTCTTCATGTATAAAAGCAAAGATATAAGTCATAAATGGGTGTACATACAGAAAAGCATTAGAGAATGAATAAATGAAAGCAAAATAAAACATTTTATTTTTCTTATTCCTAAATTGAATTAAAAGATAATGGTTTAATGTAGTAATATAATAATATGTTAATTTAAAGTAGCAATATATCACCAAGGTAGTGGGTGATTACTACCCACTGTGATTACTACAGTGCATGGTAAAGTGAAATGAATTAACAGTAATATTATACAGTAATATTATAAAGAACAGGAGAGAGAAATTAAAAATATTTTATTATAATGTATATGTACTACAAATATCTGCAAAGAACAGAACATTAAAATTTTAGGAGAAAACATCTACCTTACATGAACAGCAACAGTCCTGTGCTTCACTTCTTGGTTCTTTGCTCAAATGCCATTTTCAGTTATTGAAACATTTCCAAATTATGCCAAACTCTCCTAATTTTATGACAATAGTTTCCAGTGAGTCTTACAAGAGTGAAACTTCAGAAAGAGAAAGTTCAAAGTAATTGGAAGAACACAATCTCATTGCCAATTTCAAGGCAAAGTTATGAGCACCTCCCTCTTTTTGCCAAAATTTATCAAGCAATTAGTAAGTAGGTAGCACATTTGGCAAAAGACAGAAGAAAAAGAAATAGGAAAGAAAGATAAAAAAAGATATGATATTAAACAACGTCCTTGTCTTTGAAGAATTTGTGATTTAGACTGGAAAACAAATGTTATAGGAAATCTCCCTCAAAAAATGGGGAGAGGCTGCTTTAGAGAACAAAGTAGGTGAGTGTTTAGCTGTCCTCATCCTTTGTACATAGAGCTGAGCTGCATTTAGGGAGGGATTCAACATCCTTGTTATCAAGTGAAGCTGAGATAGAAAAGTGCTAGGTGCCTGGCCAGACTGATTGTTTGAAGGAAGATTCTTCCCCTAAGAGAAGGAAAGACAGACTTATCCTATCCTCAGATGCTAAATTAAGAAGGAACTTGCAATTGGAAATAGGCGTTTTCTTTTGTTTTTCCAATCTGTACTGAAAAGTGGGATGAAAGACAGGACAACTGCTCTCCAAAACTTGTAAGAAGAGCTGTTATCATGTTGCTTCTCTCTCAAGAGCTCTCCTGGCTCTTTATGATTACTGCAGACACCCTCTTATCCAACTCAGTCAAGGCCAGTTGTTGGTCAGTTAATCACAGAAAGGTTGTGACAGAGGAAAATAATCTTTTTTGAAAAAGAAATTACAAACTTTAAACTTGTTCTTTTAATGTAAAGCACTCAGCTATACATGGCTTCCCCTCATGTTAGTCCATGTGTCTTTTTTCTGAATAGGTCCATTGATTGGAGATTTATATCATTTGTCCAGCATAAACCACACCCATCATAAATACATAACCATTTCCAGTTTTGATTCTTTGAACTAGAGCATTAACACAAATATACTTACAAAGCAACCCAAATGCAGAATCCAACTGGGACTTCACATGCCTGCTTATAATTTTTAATTGTTTTTCTAATATCTCATTCTATAGTGATTTTTTAATGTGATTACATGTATTAAGTTTATTCAAAGCTTTCAACTTGGTTTGGGGGCATGTGTACACATGTGTGTGCATGCACACACATCATGTGTGAACTTCCTTTTGCTATGTATGACTGGTGCACATACCAGGAATTTTACAAATCAGAGAAGCTGTCCTATATCCTTGATGAGTTCACAATTAAACTATGACTAGGTAGATTAGACAGATAATTTGAATATTGCTTTGAATTTTTAAATTTTTATCAAAAACACATATGTGCATAGCTTAAGAAGTTTAAGAATGTGAATCATCTGCTTGTGAGTAAAATCAGCTGACATGTTTTATCCCTTCCAATCCCTGATTCCCACTTCACAAAGGCAACTACTTTCACCACTCTTTAAAAATATATATTATCTATGAAACTTTTTAATATGAATGATTAAGCTACACTTCAGGTTTCTTCTACCACCAGCCTTTCAATTCTACACACAATCACATATACACATCAGATTTCCAGTTCACCCAATATAGACACCTTTCGGTTAAATGAATATCCTGCACACAGATTTTCATTCATTTATAGAAGAGTTTTAGAATATGAAATAATTATTTTCCCTTTCTCAGATATCTTTTTGCTTTTCTTGGAGTTTACTTTAGTCTAGGTTTTTATTGTTTGTTTTGACTTAGTTTTCTATATATCCATCAGTAATCTATTCCAATCTCTCCCACTGAGTTATAAAACACCTCTTACTGCAGTTAAACACATCTGTCTGAGTTCTGATGTCTTCTTAGCGCTGTGTCTCCTGAAGCTCTCTATCCTCCTGATGCTGCAGGCTCACACACAGCTATTGACTCTGAAATTTCTTCATACTTCCCTTATGCTAGATGTCCTCTTTCTTGTATTCCATTTCTCTCCTATTTTGTATTTATTCCCTTGTTTAATGAAATATATCTTCTATTAATTGTTTTTGAAAAGAAATGTGAAAGGCAAATCATTTTGAAATTCTGCAAGTCTAAAACTGTATCTCTTTTTTTGTATTTTCCATACCTAAATTTATAATTTGGTTAGATAAAAAATCTAATATTGAAATCATCTGCACTCAAATTTTTGAAGGCATGATCTTTCACCTTCCAGAATTGCAATTGTGAAACCTAATGACATTCTTATTTTCAAACCTTTGTACGTGGCTTCTTTCCTCCTCTCTCTCTAGAAGCTTCTCGAATCTTCTCATTAGGTGATAGTTCTAAAATTCCCTGAAGGTATGCCTTGATATAAGCCTTTTATTAATTCTGGCACTGAATTTTACGCTCTTTCTTTCGTCATTTTCTCTTTTCTGTTCTCCCTATTTCATTTTTGCCAGAATTCTATTGGTCAAATATAGAAACTTGTGGATTAACCCTCTAATTTCCTATACCTTTTTCTACAATAGCCCAAACTTTGGTCTTTCTGTTCTTTTTTCGTTGAGGTTTCCTCAGTGCTGTTTCTCTACCAACAGTTATTTTGATTGCTTAAATTCAAGAATTTTTGTTGTTCCAATATAGTCACTTTTTCAATAGTATTCTATTCTAGTTTTATAGATTGTGTATCTTCTCACAGCTCTCTGTAGTTACTGACTTCAGGGAGAAGATGAATTTTTCTTTTTTTTAACTCTTCTTGAATTTTTGAATTGTCTCTGTTTCCTCTAATAATCTTTTAAATTTTTTCATTTATTTGTTCTCCTACTTTTACAAGAGACATTTTCTTTAAATATTTGTGATCTCTACCTAGCAAGTCCTATTTAAGAACGAAACACACACACAAATGTGGCAGCATTGTAAATAAGAACAAGCATGTGAAATCGTGCACTTCACTGTAGGGGGATCAGGTGAGCATCTGCACATTTTCTAGCAGCATCCTGAATGTCTGCATCTGTGTGTCTTTTCAGGTTTCTGTACAAAGTCCTATTCCCATTTCCTTTCTGGAGTGTGTAAACAAACATCTGTCAGCCCAGAAGTGGCATGGGACCTGGGGTGCCACTGTAATGTGGGTGTATTTAAACATTCCTTTCAGTTTGTCCACAGCAGTGTTTACCATCCCTGAGCACAGAAGTGGTCTGGCTCAGTACCTCCATATTGGAAACTCTATACTTCTTCCTATTTGGGAAGAAGGTAGTTTCCTGAATGAATGGATAAAGAAAGGGAACTACATCTGTAGCCTTCCTTTTACAGACTTCCAACAAGTCCTTCTGTTTTCAGCTCTACCTGGTCACCTCTGTTCCCAGAATTGTCTGGTATTTAAAATTCTTGAAACTTTGCATATTTCTGCGATATAAGTTGAGTTGCTTCTTATTGGTATTCTGTTATGATGTCTTGAATTTAAATATTGTAAATTAGTTACCATATGTGTATCTACGTTAATACTTATCTGCTATTATCTCCTTTCTTGTTTCTTTATCTTTATGGTCTTATAACTTTTAATCCTTTACTGTCAAGGAGTTTAGGAGAGAGTATAGATAAAAATGTGTTCAATTATACCTATTTAATAAATGGTATTCAACTTGATTCTCATAGAAACAAATATTTTATTATTCAATTTTTATTGGTTTAGTTAAGATTTATTTAAATTATGGATATTTGATTTAAAAAAGCATTTGGGGATACATTGCTCACCTCACAGGAGCAGAATATGTGCAGCACCTCTCAGTCATTGTTCTTTACAAAGGAATGGAAGAGCATTGGTTAATCTAGTATAGAAATTAAAAGAAGGTTAATTTAAAAAGTGGGTAGTTTTAAATAGATCTTCACTTCTACTTGAGTATCTTCAATGACATAATATTTGAAGAAATGCTTCCAAGTCCCCAATGACCAAAAGAAGTTTAATTTCATTTTATAAGGTAATAATAAAAGACATTGAACATTTACAGTCCCAACTACTGTATTAAGTTAAAGTACCTGGGTAGGAAAGCCAAACATTCCTAACCCTTATGCCAATTTACCAGATTAGCAATCTATTTCAGAAACTGTTTGAATTTAGTGCTACCATCTTAACCATAGTTTTTTCTTTCTTAATAGTACAAGAAATCATCCAAGCACACGTGGCCTAGCTCAGCAGATAAGTCATAGTCACAAGTGCTTATTGAGACCATTCTGTTCAAAGAACTTTCTCTTTGACAGTTTCAAATCTGGAAGCCAGTCCGGGACCAGGCTAAACACATCAATTTGCTCCTTACCTGAAACACTTGCACAGGAAACAATCCATCTTTCTTTTGTGTTCTCTACTTGTTCCACTCTCACCTCAATCGTTTCCCTGTTCTATATCATATAAAAAACATATTTTCACCTCAATCATTTCCCTGTTCTATGTCATATAAAAAGCATATTGTTCTCCTCTTTCGCAGACTACAATGGATCGTCAAATACATGGTCATACATACCACTAAAAAATTAGGTGGTATCTGTACTGAGTATATGTGCTAATTCAGATGATTTTTATGTATTTATGTATTTATTTATATCTCACCTTGTTTTATAAAAGATATATATTGGAATGGATATATGTGTGTGCACACATTTGTGTTTGTTTTTGTATACATACACATACCCATAAATAATACTGTTTCCCAAACATGTAATAGATGAATAGAATGGTTGTATATTCAAAAGATTTTTGATAGACTCTATTTGAATTTTTAAAATTAATTTTCAGTATAACCTGTTTTTAACAGCAAACATTAATTAAAAAGCATTGTAATATCTTAATAATGCAAAGTTAAGGTTCACAGTTTTCTTCTACGTAATATTAGCAGGAATTGCAATGTATTTTTTTTTCTCATAAGATATGTAATCACTTGTGGGATTTGTGGGTGGTTTTTAGTGGTAAGATCGGAACAGTTTGTTTGTAAGCCAAAATGAATATCAGATAATGTGTCTGCATGTTTAAAAAGATTACAACTAAAAGAACATAATTTCTTCTTAAAAGAAGATGGAAACATACATTTTGTATACATCTGATTGTTAGTAAAGATATAACTTATCTATTACATATTTGGAACTCATTCTGTGGGTCCCAATAAACAACAAATTGTGGTTTTATCAAATTATACATAGTGGGAAAGTTTCTAGTGTCAAGAATATATTAAAAGGTGTTTATGCTCTATTTAGAAATATTACAGAATATAAAAGTATCATTCACTATTATGAGTACAGAAGTTCCAGATGTATTAATAAGTGGATATTTTCTACGGCCATGATTTGAATAACATATAACATGATAGACTTGGTAAGTGTTATCACACTGTGAAAATATATTGTTGTCCATAAAGTAAAAAAGCATTAGGTTATTTACTATGTTAAACACTTAATAAACATAAAGGATAAAATTTTTGCAACATTATTAAAAAGAAATAATATATATACATACATTTACATACACATGGTACATATATGTATATATCTATAGCTATACCATTTATACATATATGTCCATACATGTGTGTATGTGTGTGTGTGTGTCTGTATATGTACCTATGTGTCATTGTATGGTAGTTCCCACTCTTAGCCCACAATCTTATACAATCTCTATATACCTCTAACACATTTTTTCTCTTTATTAGAATTAAACTATATTTATGATGAAGCAAATTTCAAATGTTTTTGGCTCAAAAATTCTTTGAAATAATTTTTGGCATGAGTATTGGTTAAATAAACTTTTTAGCTAGAAGTCCTTTTTTTCCTTTCTTTGAAATTATAGCCTATATTTTGAATTTGAAAAAGTCAAATATAGGCTATATTTGTCCCTATATTACACACATCAAAAATAACCATAAATTGTATACCTAGTTTATGCTTGATTTTTACCATTTGTTCCAACAAATTAAAACATTTTCCTGTTTCGTTGCACACCATGCCTTTGGTCTTTCTGAAAATAAAAAGAGGGTCATTAATGTTTTTCCTCTAAATTTGAATTCCAGATGCCCTGATGGAATTGGCTAAAATATATATAGGCAAAGGCTTAAGAAATGTAATATAGGGTCTTCAACTAATAGAGAAATAGTCTCCCTAGTTATGTTCTGCTTTTATAGAGAGAGCCGGAAAACATCAGTAACTTTACTAGAATTTTAAAATAAATGATAGCAAAAGAGATTCAGATTTCCAATTGATAAAAAACACGGGTTTTGAGGTGGCAGAGGAAGATGGTGGAATAGAAAGCTCCAATGATCGTCTCTCCCGCAAGGATACCAAATTAACAGCTACCTACACAGGAAACAAAACAAAACAAAACAAAACAAAAACACCTTTAAAAGAAAAAGAAATCAGGTGTGCACTCGCAGTACCTGGTTTTAACTTCATATCGCTGAAAGAGGCACTGAAGAGATGATAGAAAAGACAGTTCTGAAACCCCATGGCCACCCCTCTCCAACCTTTGGTAGTGGCAGCCGAGTGCCAAGAGCATCTGTGGGTGCTGGGGGAGGGAGATCACAGCAACGATGAGGCATTAAACTCAGTGCTGTTCTTTTAGAGCAAAAAGAAAAACCAGAACAAACTACCCGATGCTGGACCACGGAGGGAGCTTTTTTTTTTTTTTTTTTTTTTGAGACGGAGTCTCGCTTTGTCGCCCAGGCTGGAGTGCAGTGGCGGGATCTCGGCTCACTGCAAGCTCCGCCTCCCAGGTTCATGCCATTCTCCTGCCTCAGCCTCCCAAGTAGCTGGGACTACAGGCGCCCGCCACTACGCCCGGCTAATTTTTTGTATTTTTAGTAGAGACGGGGTTTCACCGTTTTAGCCGGGATGGTGTCGATCTCCTGACCTCGTGATCCGCCCGCCTCGGCCTCCCAAAGTGCTGGGACTACAGGCGTGAGCCACCGCGCCCGGCCGGAGGGAGCTTTTAAACCAACCATAGCCAGAAGGGAATCTTGGATCCAAGTGGTCTGAACTTGAGTCCTGCAAACCTCATCATCAAAGGCTACAGCACTCTGTGTCTCCAAGTAAGCTTGAAAAGCAGCCTAGGCCATAAGGACTGCAACTCTTAGGCAAGTCTCAGCACTGAACTAGACCCAGAGACAGTGGACTGAGGGAGCATGCAACATACTGAGACACTAGGGCTAGGGCAGCCAAGGGAGTCCTGGCATCACCCTTCCCTTAGCCCAGACTGCACAGCTCATGATTCTAAAACAGACCCCTTCCTTCCACTTGAGGAGAGGAGAAAGAAGAGTGGGCAGAAGTTTGTCTTGCATCTTGGATATTAACTCAGCCACAGCAGGATAGGGCACCGGTCAGATTCCTGAGCCCCTTGTTCCAGGCCCTAGCTCCCAGATGGCGTTTGTAGGCATGGCTTGGGAACCCACTGCCTTGAAAAGACCCAGTTCTTCCAGCATCCATCATCTGCTAACTGAAGAGCCCTTGATCCCAGAATAACAAGCAGCAATACACAGGTACTACATCAAGGGCCTTAGGTGAGCCTCTGAGATTTGCTAGGTTTCAGGTGAGATTCAGCACATTACTAGCTATGGTGGCTATGGGGTAAAACTCTTGCTTGAGAAAAGCAGGGGGGAAAAGTAAAGAAAACTTTGTCTTGCACCTTAGGTACCAACACAGACACAGTGGGATAAAGCACCAACCAAGCTCTTGGGGTCCCTAGTTCCAAGAGTTGGCTCTTGAATGGCATTTCTGGACCTGCCTTGGGCCAGAAGGAAGTCCACTGCCCTGAAGAGTGAGTCCTAGGCCAGGCAGTATTCATAACAAGCTGACATAAGAGATCTTGAACCTTCAGGGAACATCTGCCATAGTCTGGCAGTACTCCTTGTGGCCTGTGTTGGTGGTGGCTAGGGGTAAGGCTCCTCCACCTAGGGGAGGGAAGACTGGGGAGGACTCTTTCTTGTGGTTTGTGTGTCAGCTCAGTCACAATACAATAGAACACCAGGCAGATTTCTAAGGTTTCTCACTCTAGTCCCTGATCCTGGACAGCACTTCTGGACACAGCTGGGGCTTGGAGGACCTCAACACCCTGAAAGGAAGGACACAGGCTGCTGGCTTTGCCATCTGATGATTGCAGAGCCCCAGGGCCTTGAGTGAACATAGGTAATAATCAGGGAGTGGTTACAGCAGGCCTTGGGCAAGACTCAGTGCAGTGCTGGTTTTAGGTCATTATAGTGGTGGTTACAGGGGTGCTTTTGTCACTCTACCCCCAGCTTTAGGTGGCTCAGAACAGAGTCAGAGACTCTGTATATTAGGGAGAAAGTAAGGGAAGAGAACAAGAGTCTCTATCTGGTAATCTAGAGAATTCTCCCAAATCTTGTCCAAAACCATCAAGGCAGTAACTCTGTGAGTCTGCAAGAACTACAGCATTACTGGACTTAGGGTGCCACCTAGAGCAGATACAGTTTAGATCACAACACCCAAGTCCTTTCGAATATCTGGAAAGCATTCCCAAAAAGCTCAGACAGTAAAGACTTCAATAAATACCTAACTGATCAATGCCTGAACACCAAAAAACATCACTAGCACCAACACCATCTAGGAAAATATGACATTGCCAAAGGAACTAAATACAGTACCAAGGACCAATCCTGGAAAAACAGAAATATGTAACTGTTCAGACAAAGAATTCAAAAGAGCTGTGCTGGGGAAACTCAAAGAGATTCAAGATAACACAGAGAAGGAATACAGAATTGTATCCAGATAAATTTAACAAAGACATTGACATAATTAAAAGGAATTAAGCAGAAATTCTGGAGCTGAAAATTGCAACTGGCATACTGAAGACTGCATTAGAGCCTTTTTTTTTTTTTTTTGAGATGGAGTCTCACTTTGACACCCAGGCTGGAGTGCAGTGGCATGATCTTGGCTCACTGCAACCTCCACCTCCCTGGTTCAAGCAATTCCCTGTGTCAGCCTCCCAAGTAGCTGGGATCACAGGTGCCCACCACCATGCCTGGCTAATTTTTGTATTTTTAGTTGCCTCATGGTAACCTCAAACCATACAATGGATACATAAAAAATAAAAAGATATGCACATGGATATACAAAAAACATATAGTGGACACACAAAAAATAAAAAGCAATAAACTAAATTATATCACTAGAGAAAATCACCTTCACTAAAGAAAGATAGGAAGGAAAAGAAGAAGAAAGAGAAGGCCATGAAACAACTAGAAAACAAATAACAAAATGGAAGGAGTAAGTCCTTACTTATCAATAATAAAATTGAATGTATAGGGACTAAACTCTCCAGTGAAAAGACATAGTCTGGCTGAATGAATGAAAAAACAAGACCCGTTGATCTGTTGCCTACAAGAAACATACCTGGATTAAAAATAAAAGGATGGAAAAGATATTCCATGCTAATGGAAATTTTTTTTAAAAAGAGCAGGAGCTCTTGTAGTCCCAGCTACTTGGGAGGCTGAGGCAGAAGAATGGTGTGAACCCAGGAGGCCAAGCTTGCACTGAGCCAAGATCGCGCCACTGCACTCCAGTCTGGGTGACAGAGCGAGACTCCATCTCAAAAAAAAAAAAAAAAAAAAAAAAGAGCAGGAAGCACTGTACTTACATCAGACAAAATAGATTTCAACACACAAAAACTATAAGAAGAGACAAAGAAGGTCACTATATAAAGATAAAGAGGTCAATTCAACATGAGGGTATAACAATTTTAAACATATATGCACTCAACTCTGGAGCACCAAGATATATAAAGCAAATATTATTAGAGCTAAAGAGAGATAGACCCCAATACAATAATAGCTGGAGACTTCAATACCCCACTTTCAGCATTGGACAAATCTTCCAGACAAAAAAGTCAACAAAGAAACATCAGACTTAATCTGCATAATGGACCAAATGGATCTAATATATAATTACAAAACATTTCATCCGAAAGTGGCAGAATACACATTCTTTTCCTCAGCACATGGATCATTCTCAAGGACAGACCATTTGTTAGGTCACAAAACCAGTCTTAAAACATTTTAAAAAATTGAAATAATATCAAGTATCTTCTTTGACTACAATAGAATAAAACTAGAAATTAATAACAAGGGAATTTTTGAAACTATACAAATACATGGAAGTTCAGCAATGTGTTCCTGAATGACCAGTGGGTCAATAAAGAAATTAAGAAGGAAATTGAAAACATTTTTGAAACAAATGATAATGGAAACACAACATACAAAACCTATGGGATTTAGCAAAAGCAGTACTAAGGGGGAAATTTATAGCTGTAAGTGCCAACATTGAAATACAGGAAAAACTTCAAATGAACAATTTAATGGTGCATTTTAAACAACTAGAAAAGCAAGAGTAAACCAAACCCAAAATTAGTAGAAGAAAAGAAATAATAAAGATCAGAGCATAAATGAAATTGAAATTAAACAAATACAAAAGATTAATGCAACAAAAAGTTGTTTTTTTAAAAAATTAAAGAAAATGGAAAAAACTTAAGTCACATTAAGAAAAAAAGAGAATGTCCAAATAAATAAAATTAGAAATGAAAAAGGAGACTTTACAACTGATAATGCAGAAATTCAAAGAAGCATGTGATAAATTGAAAAATCTAGAAGAAATAGGCAAATTCCTAGACACATACAGCCTACCAAAAGTGAACCAGGAAGAAATCCAATACCTAAGCAGACCTATAACAAGTAACAAGATCAAAGCTGTAATAAAAAGCCTCCCATTAAAGAAGAGCCCAGGATCTGATGGCTTCACTTCTGAATTCTACCAAATATTTAAAGAATTTAAATAATTCTACCAAATATTTATATTCTTTCTTATAAGAATGAGAAATTCCAATTCTTATTCTTATTGGAATAAGAATACCAATCTTACTCAGACTATTCAAAAAAATAGATGAGAGAATACTTCCAAACTCATTCTATAAGGTCAGTATTACCCTCATACCAAAATCAGACAAAGGCATATTAAAAAAAAAAACCTAAGGCCACTATCTCTGATGAATATAGATGCAGAAATCCTCAACAAAATACTAGCAAACTGAATTCACCAATATATTAGAAAGATTATTCATCATGATCAAATGGGATTTATCTGTGGGATGGAGGGATAGCTCAGCATATGTAATTCAATCATTGTAATACATAATATTAACAGAATGAAGGATAAGAATGATATAATCATTTCAATTGATGTTAAAAAATCATTTGATAAAATTCGACATCCCTTCATGATAAAAACTCAAAAAACGGAGGATAGAAGGAACATACCTCAATATAATAAAAGCCACATATGACAGACCCAAAGCTAGTGTCATCCTGATTGGGGAAAAACTAAAAGCCTTTCCTCTAAGATGTGGATCTTGACACGGATGCCTACTGCCACCACTGTTATTTAACATAGTACTGGAAGTCCTAGACAGAGCAATCAGACAAAAGAAGGCAATAAAGTGCATCCAAATTGGAAAGGAAAAAGTCAAATTATCCTTGTTTGCAGATGACATAGTCTTATATTTGGAGAAAACCTAAAATACTCTACAGGAAAACTACTCAAACTGATAAATTTAGTAAAATTCCAGGATACAAAATCAACATACAAAAATTCATAGCATATCTATATGCCAACAGTGAATGATTTCAAAAAGAAATTTAAAAAGTAATCTCATTTAGAGTAGCCACACATCAAATTAAATACCTAGGAATTAACTTAACCAAAGAAGTGAAAGATCTCTATGATGAAAACCATAAAATACTGATGAAAGAAATTGAAGCAAACATCAAAAAATGGAAAAATGTTCCATGTTCATGAATTAGAAGAATCAATATTGTTAAAATGTCCATACTACCCAAAGCAATCTACAGATTCAATGCAATCTCTGTGAAAATACCAATGACATTTTTATTTATTTATTTATTTATTTATTTATTTATTTATTTATTTATTTATTTATTTTTTTGAGACAGTCTCTCTTTGTTGCCCAGGCTGGAGTGCAGTGGCACGATCTCGGCTCACTGCAAGCTCCGCCTCCCAGGTTCACGCCATTCTCCTGCCTCAGCCTCCGGAGTAACTGGGACTACAGGTGCCCGCCACCACACCCAGCTAATTTTTTGTATTTTTAGTAGAGACGGGATTTCACCGTGTTAGCCAGGATGGTCTTGATCTTCTGACCTCGTGATCCACCCGCCTCGGCCTCCCGAAGTGCTGGGATTACAGGCGTGAGGCACCGCGCCCAGCCACCAATGACATTCTTTGCAAAAGTAGAAAATAAAAATTCTAAAATTTATATAGAACCGCAAAAGATCCAGAATAGCCACAGCTATCCTAAGCAAAAGAACAAACTGGAGAAATAACATTACCTAACTTCAAATTATACTAGAAAGCTATAATAACCATAACAGGATGGTTCTTGCATAAAAACAGACACATAGACCAATGGAACAGAATAGAGAACCCAGAGACAAATCTACACACCTAAGGTGAACTCATTTTTGACAAAGCTACTGAGAACATACACTGGGGGAAAGACAGTCTCATCAATAAATGCTTCTGGGAAAATTGAGTATCCATGTGCAGAAGAATGAAAGTAGACCCCATCTATTACCGTGTACAAAACTAAAGTCAAAATGGATTAAAGACTTATAGCTAAGATCTTGTACTATAAAATTACTACAAGAAAACATTGGGGAAAATCTTCAGGGCATTGGTCTGGGCAAAGATTTCTTGCTTACAGGATGGGAGAAAATACTTGCAAACTTCCCATCTGATGATGGATTAATAACCAGAATATATAAGGAGCTCAAACAACTCTATAGAAAAAAAATCTAATAATTGATCAAAAATTGGGCAAAAGATTTGAATAGACATTTCTTAAAAGTAGACATACAAATGGCAAACAGGCATATGAAAAGGCGCTCAGCATCACTGATCATCAGAGAAATGTAAATCAAAACTACAGTGAGATATCATTTTAAATAGCTTATATTCAAAACACAGGAAATAACAAATGTTAGCAAGGATGTGGGGAAAGGAAACCCCTTGTATACTGTTGGTGGGTATGTAGATTAGTATGAGCACTAGGGAGAAAAGTTTAGAGGTTTTATAAGAAACTGAAAATTGAGCTACCATATGATCCCACAATTCCACTGCTGGGTATATGCCCAAAAGAAAGGAAATCAGTATATCGAACAGATATCCACACTCCTGTGTTTGTTGCAGCACGGTTTAAAATAGCTAAGATTGGAAGCAACCTAAGTATCCATTAAGAGATAAATGGATAAAGAAAATGTGGTACATATGCACAATGGAGTACTTTAGACATTAAAAAAGAATGAGATCCAGTCATTTGCAGCAACATGGATGGAACTGAAGATCACTATGTTAAGTGAAATAAGCCAGGCACAGAAAAACAAACATCACATGTTCTCACTTATCTGTGGGATCTAAAAATCAAACCAATTGAACTTATGGACCTAGAAAGTAGAAGGATGTTACCAGAGGCTGGGGAGGGTATGATTTCAAAGAAATATCTGTCTGACTTAATTAATACAGTAGCTGGGGGCTCTTGGGGGAAAGTGGGGATGGTTAATGGGTCCAAAAACATAGAAAAAATGAATAAGACCTACTATTTGATAGCATGATAAGGTGACTATAGTCAATAATAACTTAATTGTACAGTTTAAATAACTTAAAGAGTGTAATTGGATTGTAAATCGAAGGATAAATGTTTGAGGGGATTGATACCCTATTTCCCATGATGTGCTTATTTCACCCTGCATGCCTGTATCCAGACATCTCGTTTCCCATAAATACACACACTCACAATGTACTCACAAAAAAAATTTGTTTAAATTTAAACCATAGATTTTTTTTAACTTTTCAACTTCTATTTTAGGTTGAAGGGGTACTTGGGTAGGTTTGTTACATGGGCAATTCAGCTTAAATTTTAGACCAAGTATATACCAAATTATTTTTGAAATTCAAAATGCTGTATTTCTAGCCTTTATTCCCTATCTTCCCATTTTTAGCAAATATCATGTACTTACTTGTTTCTTTCTAATACCTGAGGCTCAATAAGGTCTTAGGTAGGTGAGGGGTGGGAAGTGCAGGGGGATTATTGAAAAGATTAATCCCTAAATGTTTTAATGATTTTTCAATAGACCACTCCTCTGATAAATGCTCCTGATTGTACATTGTGAACACTTAGAATTGTACTTTAACATAGCTTCAATAAGTAGCAGAAATAGGTATGTCAAAATATTATGTAGAAACTAGAATGCTAAAGGTTTTTAGCATTAACAGTAAAAGAACTAATGAGTGATTTAAGAGGAGATCATATTCATATCATAAATAGTGACTTTCATATTACTGATAACTTACATAATCATGCAAGGTCTCCATTAGATGACATCCATAAGACACAGGAAATAGAAATGCAGCTGTTCATTACTAATAATAGTCAACAGCTAAAAAAGAGGACATGTTTTCAAAGCAATGTGTTATGTTTATGGGATCAATGAAGAGAATACATTTTAAATTTTTTATGGTGCTACACAGTTAGGTTGATCAGCTTCAGAAAAACTATCTTGTAAGTTCCACACTTTCAGGCAGGTGTTTCAGCAGCTCATTCAGAATCGATTTGGCAAAACTAAAACAATACATAAATCATCTCTCATGACAGGGCCTTGACTTGCACAGTGCTAGAATTTCAGATCTAATACATTTAAAAAAATTATTATCTCCTTACAAAAGCTGAGGAGATGACAAGTCAGTCTGCTATCATAGGGGCACAAATGGGAGAAAGTAGGGTGAGAGTAGTGGGATAGAATTATTTATATTTTAGTTGAAGCAATAGATATAGACTTTTTAAAGTGGTCACAATGGGAGTAATTGTTATAAAAAACTCGGGTAGTTACAGCAAAAGATGTACAGAAAACTGTACGTCTAATTATGGCTACTGTATTAATTAAGTCAGACAGACATTTCTTTGAAATCACCAATCTGGTTGATTTGTACTTAGTATTGAATAATATCTTGTTATAGAGAAACTACATATGTGGGGAGCTCCAAATAAAACAGAAATTGCAATATAAAATTTGGGATATAATTTTAGTTTATATTTCAATGTTCTAAAAACCCTATATATTAAATGTGTTGGTTTTGATTGTGAATATCTGGAATAAATTAACAAATTGATTTAAAATGGGCTGAATAAGGTTTGGGAGCACAGTGGGTTTTAATGGAAGCGCTACCATTTAATGTTTGAGCCTCTGTCTTCTTATCTAAAACACTGGATGAGAATAGTAATACTTGACAGGGGTTTTGTGAGGATTAGGTGAGTTAAGATACACAAGACAATTAGAAGACTATGTGCTACATAGTTAGTACAACATTGCTTATTGCCATTTATCTGTTTGCTAAG
This sequence comes from Homo sapiens, assembly GCF_000001405.40. Taxonomy (NCBI): domain Eukaryota; kingdom Metazoa; phylum Chordata; class Mammalia; order Primates; family Hominidae; genus Homo; species Homo sapiens. The sequence continues at coordinate 111,129,634 of NC_000004.12, read as the reverse complement.
CTCATTATCACTGCTCAGTTTCCTTGACATAAAGTGTACTCTAATAGGTGGTTAAAAAATGTTAAGAGAGTAGTGACATATTCCTTTGTAAATGTTAATATCCACCTACTTTACAAACTTGTTTAAGACAAAGTTTGGATAATCAATCCATAGTATATAATAGTTTTCTCATATGTTCCATGCATAGGTATCTCATAGTGTGGAGAAGTGAAATAAACAAATAAGAATCAGTGGCCTGGAGTCTAGAACAAAGGTGTCTCAGTCTGTTCCTGCTGCTATAACAAACTAACACAGACTGGGTAATTTATAAATAATAGAAATGTATTTCTCACAGTTCCGGTGGCTGAGAAGTTCAAAATCCAGGCACAGGAGGATTTGAGTCTGGTGAAGGTTCAGTCTGTACTTACAAGATGGCATCTTGTGGCTGCATCCTCACACGGGAGAAGGCAGACAGGCAAAAGCACTGAATACTCTGTCCTCCCATAGTGGAAGAGGTGGAATAAATGGATGGGTGAACTCACCCTCCCAAGTCCTTTCACAAGGCACTAAGCCCATCCATGTGGGTCAAGCTTTCGTGGCCTAATCACCCCCAAAAGGCCTCACCTCTTAAAACTGCTGCATTAAAGATAAAGTTTCCATGTGAATTTTGAAGGAGGCACAAACATTCAAACCATAATGATGAGCTTTGAAATCAGACAGACCCGAGTTCAAATTCTGGCCTTGACATTTAATAACTGCTTCAGAAGAGTAAGTTAGGTTATACAGGAGTAACAAATGACCCCCAGATCTTAGTGGCTTACAACAGCACAGGTTTATTTATATACAAGTATCCAGGTTCATTTCACTTTGGGACCCAGGCTAACAAAGCATCCTTTATTGGAATATTGCCAGTCATTGTGGCAAGAAAAAAAGAATATGGCAAAGCAAGCGGTAGCTCTGAAAAACTCAGCTTAGAGATGACATATTTCATTGATTAAAGCAAATCACATAGTCACACATTAAGTTCAATAGGAAAAGGAAATAAAGGAAGGGGTAGTGGATATTAGTGAACAAGAATTAAGTTTACCAAAATATCTGTGTGATCCTAGACAGCTGGTCTCCTAGTTTCACTTTCAGTATCTGTAAAACTTACAGCAATAAAACTGACCCAGAAGATTTTCAAAACATATAGCATCTGGCCCATAATAGGTACTGTATTCCATTGTCTTGTTTCCCTTTGTACTTTTTTGGCCCTTGCTTTACTTCCAAGTTTGATAGGTGGACCTGGGCTAATCATCTAAGAGCTTTAATCTGTTTCTTCATTGATTCAAAAAAGCTATGGAATACATAATTTCTCAAGCCTCTGACAACTCTATTATTCTGTGAATTGTGAATTGCATGTTGTGTCTTGGTTGAAATAACAACCAGAGATGTTTTATAGAGAATCTTCTTTTCTGAAGGGAGAAGTCTGGACTTCAAAGATAAGGACAACAGCACTGAAAGGTTTCAGAGCATTTAGGATTTCTTGTTTATACTATGGTAGGCTATGTAATGTCCCCACGCCCACCAAATATGTCTGCATCCTAATCCCTAAAACCTCAGAATGTTGCCTTATATGGCAAAAAAAAGGGACTTCTGTAGATACGGTTAAGGATTTTGAGATGGGGAGATAATGCTGGATATCTGGATGGGCCTGATGTAATCACAAAGGTCCTAATAAAAAAGATGAAGGAAATGTCAGAATCAGAGGAGAGGGAAATGTGCTGACGGGAGCAACAGATCGGAGTGAAGTGCTCGAGACAAGGAAGGAGAGCAGCCACTGGAAGCTGGAAAAGGCCAGGAAACAGATTCTTACCTGGAGCCTCCAGCAGAAACCAGTTCTGCTGACACCTGGATGTTAGCAACTAACATTTATTTCAGATTTCTGACCCCCAGAGCTGTTAAAAGAATAGTGTTTTGAGCCACCAAATTTTTAGAGTTTTGCTACACCAGTAACAGGAAATTAGTACATAAGACAAATAGAAGAATAAATTGTTTCTGAACATGAAGATAAAAGCATTATTTCAAATACTTGAAATCTTACAAAATGTCTTAAATCAAAATACTTTTTAAAAATTAAGATTTTTAGAAAATTGATTGCTTTGGAACTTTTTAAGCTTTCAGTTATTTTTTTTACCTAGTAGATAAATAATAAAAATAGAAATATAAGAAACCAAAGTTTAACCTCTAACTCAATCTTATCCATAATCTTCTATAACTTATTTAATCTTCAAGTTTCTTGTTTTCATCTCTTTATTCCCATGTTGATATTAACAAGTAAAATATTAGAAAACTTCAGATGAAGGATACTATCACGTTGCCAAGAAATTATGACTAAAAGAGTCATATATAAAATCAACAAGCCACCAAATATTTCACCAACCTGACCACAAATACCAAGTTACCTTCCAGTTCCCACACCTCTTCTGCTATTCACCATATCCTCAGTCAAGGAAAACTTGTCCACAGCCACATATATTTCTAATGCAACTATACATAATGACTCCAACAAAATCTCTCCCAAAAGTAGCAGGAATAGGGTACTACCTATTCAAATTCCATCTGGCCTAGTTGATTATGTTTTCTTTTAACCAATAGTGCCAATTTTTAAAGTCCATGTGTATTTAAATTTACTTGGCCAAACAGTAAGCTGATGTGAAGATATAATTTTTGAATAAATATTTTTATTTGAAAAACTGTCTTTAGAACTATGCATATAGATTCACCTGAATTTAACTTAAAATATCACTATACTTGTTTTCCATTGTTGTAACAAATTACTATGAACTTAATGACTTAAAAGAACACAATTTATTATCTTAACAATTCAGTAAGTCAGAAGAACATGGACCTCACTTGGCTATAATCATGGTGTTGGTGGGGCCATTGTTCCATTCTGGAAGCTTCAAGGGAGAATCTGTTTCCTTGCCCTTTCCACCTTCCAGACACCTCCTGCATTTCTTACCTTATGACCTCCTTCCTCCATCTTCAAAGTCAGCAGTGTCACATCTCTCAGATTCTTCTTTCATTGTCTCAGCTTTCTCTAACCACAGCCAAGAAAGGTTCTCCACTTTTAGAGGAATCACGTGATTAGACTGGGCCCAACAGATAATCCAGGGTAATCTCCCCATCTCAAAATCCATACCCTTAATCACATCTGCAAAGTCTCTTTAGCCATGTAGGGTAGCATATTCACATTTCCAGGGATTACAGCATGGACATCTTTGGGAGCTATTATTCTGCCTGGCACACTCGAATACACAAAAATTGAAATTGGATTCCATGAAAGACTGATATACATGGAAACATAATGACCAAAAACCCCAGCAATTTAGCCAAATTACTGAAAATGGCAGATACACCAGTTATTTTCTGTTGCTTGATTTAAAACGAAAACAAAAAACAGCAAGTTTTGCAACAAAATTGGCTATTCTTTAGTTCATTATTTGGACAACTATCGTACTTTCTTTGTACTTTGTGTGTGAGGGTGAAAAGGGGGGGAAGTGGGGAAAAGGAATGTCATGAGTATCATTATGAATTCTGAATTTCTCTCTCTGAGGGAGGCTAGAAATAGAACAGAAACAAGGTGAAAGGTCCCAGGCATGTTACTATAAGCAGACTCGAATGCTCAGAGCTTCATTCCTTCATTCAATTAACAAAGAACTATTGTGTCCCCAAGATGCTCCAGATATTATGCTAAGGTTTTGGAAATATCTAGATGAGTAAGGCAGATATTGTCCTTACCTTCATGTTTCTCACAGTCTAGCAGGGAAAAGATGTTAAATAAGTGAATTCCACAGGATAAGGTAGTAATGGGCTGGACTGAAGCATAGGTGAGATCTCTAAGTGAACATCTCAATCCATGAAAGTAAAGAGTGAGCATTTTCCTAATTCATTTATTGGTTTCAAATGATTACCTACTCTAATTTAAACACATCATGGGTGATTTGAAAAATGTTCATTGGTGATAGTGGAGACATTTGACTTATTGAAAGCAGATTTATAGTAGATTCCTATTAGAAGCATAGCTAAAACTCAGTAACTTTAGCTAAAAAGCACCAAATGATGTTAAATATATGCCAACACGAAATTACTTTTAAAGTATAGTATTTGTTAGCATCAAGTAGTATTTTAGCCAAGACTAATACTGGGCCTCGAGGTATGGAAACTGTTCTCAGTTCAGTGGTATGCCATAGTTTTGGTCCTGTCCATCATGTGGCATACCACCAATTAGAATGGCTGGACATACTGTTGCCAACATAGCTAATCATGTCTTTACATTAAATCATAACCCTCTACTTTGCACTGGCAAGAGAAAATGAAGGAGCAAAGGAAAATGTTGGGAAAGTTCCTTTTTGTACACATAGACATTTCTACAAATCAAAACAATGTTCTTAAATGTTTTACTTATAATTATACCAATCGTCTTGCCCAAAGGTGTATATTTGTAATAATTGATTTATGTCTCTGTTGCTATGTATGTATGTTTATATATGTATACATATGTATGTTATTTTTAATAATCAAAGTTGTACTACACAGTAATTTGCATCTTGTTTCTTCTGTTTAAAAAATGTGAGCTTTTCCAATTCTATGAAATGTACTTTAGAAACATCATAAATTGTAAAGTAGTCTATCATCCTGATTTAACTATAAATTATTTCATCTTTCCTCTCTTTGTGAAAGTTACTTATACTTTTTCACTATTATAAATAAGGCTGTGGTAAACATCCCTTTCCATAGATTTTTGTGTGTATTCCTGTTTTATCTTTATGTTAAATTTCTAGAAACGTAATTATGTTTCTAAGAGTATGAAAGTCGTATTACTCTTCATACAAAATATTCTTGAGAAAGTTTACAACAATGTATTCTTTTACTACCGTATATTTCATCACCCTTTATAACGCAAAACTTTCACTCTTTGCTTTCTTGTATATGTTTATTTTTAATCTTTTTTTTTTTTTTTTTTTTTTTTTGAGACGGAGTCTCTCTCTGTAGCCCAGGCTGGAGTGCAGTGGCGCGATCTCCGCTCACTGCAAGCTCCGCCTCCCGGGTTCACGCCATTCTCCTGCCTCAGCCTCCCGAATAGCTGGGACTACAGGCGCCCGCTACCACGCCCGGCTAATTTTTTGTATTTTTAGTAGAGACGGGGTTTCACCGTGTTAGCCAGGATGGTCTCGATCTCCTGACCTCGTGATCTGCCCGCCTCGGCCTCCCAAAGTGCTGGGATTACAGGCGTGAGCCACCGCGCCCAGCCGTTTATTTTTAATCTTAACTGTTTAATGGGAGATGTGAATGCATAATCTCTAAGATGACCCCCCAAGGATTCCTGTTCTCTAGTATTCACATCTTTGGGTGATCCTCTTTCCTTGAGTTGTGCTGGATTCCTGTCTTAATCCATTTTGTATTTCTATAACAAAATAACATGGACCGGCTAGTTCATTAATAATATATATTTATTCTCACAGTTCTGGAGGCTGGGAAGTCCAAAATTAAGGTGCCAGCAGGTTTGGCATTTTGCAAGGTCCCACCTTGCAAGTTTCCACCTTGGAGTTTTCACCTCCAAGATGTTGTCCTGGACACCAAATTCTCCAGAGGGTGCAAGTACTGTTTCTCACACGACAAAAGAGTGAAAGAGAGCAAAACCACCTCTTCAAGCTCTTTTTTTGGTAGCATTAATCCATTCATGAGGATGGAGCCCTCATGATCTCAACACTTCCCACTAGGCCCCACCTTCCAACACTGTTACATTGGGGATTACGTTTCAACATGAGTATTGCAGGGAATGAAAACATTCAAACCATAACAATTTCTGATCTACCTCTATTGAACAGACTATGGCAGAAGCAATGGAATGTCACTTCCAAAGTTGGGTTGCAAAAAAATGACTTCTATCCTGGGCTTGCGCTCTCTCTCTCTCTCTCTTTCTCTCCCCACCCCCCCCCTCTCCCCACCCCCTCTCTCTCTCTCCCCCCCTCCCTCTCTCTCCCTCTGTCTACACACTCTGTGGAAAGCTGCCAGTTGTAAGAAACCCTATGAAAAGACCAGTGTGGGAAGCCAGTGATATCCATGTTTAAGCCACTAAGTTACAAAGTTAATATGTAATACATTTGGGGAATGTATTATGTATTAATTGATAACTGACACAGAAGATAAATGGTACCTTATAGTTATTTAAATGTTAATATTAATAAAGTTGAGCATTCTCTTTTTCACAGATTAGTATAGTATTTTTGTGATTTACCTCCTTTTTTGTTTTTTTTTTTTTTTTTGCTATTTTTCTATAGAAGTGTTCCCCTTCTAATTTTTAACAGTTCTTTATATTTTAGGATTCTACATTTTTGCCTGTTATACATATATTGCTAATATTTTTCAAGTTGTTATTTGCCCTTTTATTATGCTTATGGTGTCTTAACAAAAGTAATTTTTATAATCATAGTTGAAATTATCTTTCTTTATATTTTTTCAATAGAAGCATTATCTCTCTGCTTGGTAAACAAAGCAATGATTTGTTAGAGGATGTAACAAAGCTCTAACTGGTCATTAATATCTCATATTTATTTTATATCCTGCCACTTAATGAATCATCTTATCAGTTCTAGTAGTTTATCAGCTGACCCTTGGGTTTTTGGGAAAAATAATCACATAATCTGCTAATAGGGATGAATTTGTATCCTTCCTAAAGTTTTATATCTGTTTTTGTCTTATTTTCTTGGCAAGAATTTTCAGAAGTTGTCACTAATAATAATAATGACATTTGTCTTTCATTTCTTAATTCAAGGGACTAGCATTGTAGATGATCTTAAACGAAATGATTTATGTAATCATATCTGAGATGCAAACAATTGTAAGATGCATCTTAGAATTAACAAAATAAAATGGATAATATTTTTGTATTTAAGAAGTTGCTTTGTATTCCTATAATATTAAATTTCTATTTGTTTTTCAAATTGAATCAATTGCTTCTCTTTTGTCTTTGTGAAAGGTACTAATTACAACAACTTTTACTACGGGAAACATTCAATGATTAGGTTGATGCCTGGTGGTTTTTCTACCTAAATGTCTGTTTCCTGTATTATAAGGTTCAATTACAACTTACTCTCCTTCTTCATGTAAGGGAAGATTTAATTGTTTCAAGCAAACAAATAAGTAGTTTTAAACAAAACACTAAAATTATAATGTTGTATTTTTATTTTACTTTGATGAAGGAACAAGTTCTTCACCCTAACCCAGAGGACATGGAAAGGTATTAGGATATCAACCACACCTGCCAAGGGATATCTCTCCCTTAAGTACATTTGATTGCTAATCAATAAATCTTGCTGTCCAATAAGATATCATCTCATACCAGTCAGAACAGCAATTATTAAAAAGTCAAAAGGTAACAGATTCTGGTGAGGCTGCAGAGGAAAGGAAACACTTATACACTGTTGGTGGAAATGTAAACTAGTTCAAACCCTATGGAAAGCAGTTTGGAGATTTCTCAAAAAAGGGAAGGTATATACCCTGTTGGTGGGATTGAAATTAGTTCAGCCACTGTGAAAAGCAGTTTGGAGATTTCTCAAAGAACTTAAAACAACATTACCATTCAACCCAGCAATCCATTAGTGGGTAAATGCCCAAAGGAAAACAAATCATTCTACCAAAAATACACATGCATTTATATGTTCAATGTAGCACTATTCACAGTAGCAAAGACATAGAATCAACCTAGATGCTCATCAACGGTGGACTGGAGAAAGAAAATGTGGTACATATACATCATGGAATACCACATAGCTATAAAAAAGAATGAAATCCAGTTCTTTGCAGCAATATGGATGCAGCTAGAAGCCATTATCCTAAGCAAATAAATGCAGAAACAGAAAACCAAGTACTGCATTTTCTCACTTAAAAATGGTAGCTAATGCTATAAAGACACATGCACACGTATGTTTATTGCGGCATTATTCACAATAGCAAAGACTTGGAACCAACCCAAATGTCCAACAATGATAGACTGGATTAAGAAAATGTGGCACATATACACCATGGAATACTATGCAGCCATAAAAAATGGTGAGTTCATGTCCTTTGTAGGGACATGGATGAAATTGGAAATCATCGTCAGTAAACTATCGCAAGGACAAAAAAACCAAACACCGCATATTCTCATTCATAGGTGGGAATTGAACAATGAGATCACATGGACACAGGAAGGGGAAATCACACTCTGGGGACTGTTGTGGGGTGGAGGGAGGGGGGAGGGATAGCATTGGGAGATATACCTAATGCTAGATGACGAGTTAGTGGGTGCAGCGCACCAGCATGGCACATGTATACATATGTAACTAACCTGCACAATGTGCACATGTACCCTAGAACTTAAAGTATAATAAAAAAAAATGGTAGCTAAACATTGAGTACACATGGACATAAAGATGGAAACAATGAACACTGGGGACTACCAGAGGGGAGAGAGAGGGAGTGTGGCAAGGGCTGAAAAACTACTATTGGGTACTATGTTCAGTACCTAGGTGACAGAGCCATTTGTTCTCCATATTTCAGTGTCACACAATATACCCATGGAACAAATCTGCACATGCACTCCCTGAATCTAAAATAGGAGCTGAAATTATTTTTTTAAAAAAAGTATTGATGTCATTTCTGCCCATGTTATCTCATCTTCTCTTGCCATCAACACCTGCCCTCAACAGCTATGAGAGCTGTCTGGTGATTCTAGTACCCAGACATCCCACCCAACTTGCTACTCCCACCTCCAAAGAACGGCCCACACCAGAAACTCATCTCCACCTTGCCATCACCCCTGTCTCCTCAGCTGGCCCTGCTTTGGGATCTCTGTGTAATTTCCTCTGTCTCAAAAAGCCTTAGATCTTTCAGCAAGGTCAAGTTGAGGAAGGAAATACATAGATACATAGAAGAATTTGAGAGGATTGTGGGCTTTGGGTGACTCAAAGCTGATTGTAGTACTTTTACCCAGTGTAGTTCCTGTGACATAGCTGACTTTCTACCCTGCCCTAATTCTGCTTATCTTTAAGAAACAGGATGCATGTCACTTGTAAAAAGACAGTACTGAGGAAGAAAAAAAAAAAAAAAAGAAACAAGACACATGTGATAAAAAGTTCTTTCTGTAACCAGACCAGCTGAGACTGGTTAGAACCAAGATAGCTGACTAAATGACATCAAAAAGATCTCAGGCTTCATTATAATCTCATTTCTATGCTAAATGACACTCCCACTCACACTGGGACAGTTGACAATCACCATGGCAATGAGGAGAAGCCATGAATGGACAGAAAAGAAGGCAGCACTCTGGTTCCAGAGAATTCATGGTCCATTTCCAGAAGATAAATGAATATTCCTCCCCTCACTTTTAATATCCAACCCCTTCATTAGAGAAACCCTATATCCTAACCCTCTTACCCCTCACTAGCCAAGAATTTTTTGGGGGGGCAGGTAAACATTTGACCCATCTAGAAATCTTATTACCTCTGCATTGTATTTTGCTTCTGTAACTAGCTTTATTTATTTATTTATTTATTTATTTATTTATTTATTTATTTATATTATACTTTAAGTTCTGGGATACATATGCAGAATGTGCAGGTTTCTTATGTATGTATACATGTGCCATGGTGGTTTGCTGCACCCATCAACCCATCATCTATATTAGGTGTTTCTCCTAATGCTATCCCTCCCTTAGCCCCCAACCCCCAAACAGGTCCTGGTGTGTGATGTTCCCCTCCCTGTGTCCATGTGTTCTCATTGTTCAACTCCCACTTATGAGTGAGAACATGTGGTGTTTGGTTTTCTGTTCTTGTGTTACTTTGCTGAGAATGATGGTTTCTAGCTTCATCCGTGTCCCTGCAAAGGACGTGAACTCATCCTTTTTTATGGCTGCATAGTATTCCATGGTGTATGTGTGCCACATTTTCTTTATGTGGTCTATCATTGAAGGGCATTTGGGTTGGTTCCAAGTCTTTGCTATTGTGAACAGTGCCACAATAAGCATATGTGTGCATGTGTCTTTATACTAGAATGATTTATAATCCTTTGGGTATATACCCAGTAATGGGATTGCTTGGACAAATGGTATTTCTGGTTCTAGATCCTTGAGGAATCACCACATTGTCTTCCACAATGGTTGAATTAATTTACACTCCCACCAACCGTGTAAAAGCGTTCCTATTTCTCCACATCCTCTCCAGCATCTGTTGTTTCCTGACTTTTTAATGATCACCATTCTAACTAGTGTGAGATGGTATTTCACTGTGGTTTTGATTTGCATTTCTCTAATGACCAGTGATGATGAGCTTTTTTTCATGTTTGTTGACCACATAAATTGATTTGAAAGCCACGCTCCCATTTCTCAATTCCATGGTCATTGAAAAAAAGCCTTCACTGCTTGACCCTCACTTCCAGTTTTGTGTATTGGCTTTGTGGAGCTGAACAGGGAAAGACCCCATTCTAAGGGGACAAGCTTTGTTGTTAGCAGTACAGAAGCTTCAGATTTTAGGGCTCAGGACTGTTATGGTTCAGCTTTATTTTGAAACTATTTATTCTTACTTTTTTCTTCCTTACGAGAAAATAGAAACTTGTTGTTCATTGACACTGTCTATTCAAGTTTTGGAATGCCTGCATCAGTTTAGAGGTAATTGTTATAAAAGGGTACTAGGCTGGGAGTACTTTGAGCTCTGTTAACACTGTGTGTATGAATGTAAACCATATCTGTCACTTCTCTTCTGGACCTCTGCATTCTCATCTGACTTTATTATTCTTTATATTAATTATGCCTTATTCTCCTTTTTCTAAGTTCATTGGCTATAGCTTGTGCTAGAAGCCCTTTAGCTAGAGCGTGAAGTAGTTAAGTGTTTTTAGTAACTTCAACCTCCCCTCTCTGTAAGTATTCTCTCAGTTGCATCCCTTACGTTCCTCTCCTTGTCTGGGGACCTAGAAACTTCGTGCTCCTATCCTTTCCTTTCCCTCCTTAGCAATTTATTTCCTCCAGTTATTATCTGGTAAATGTATTCACACTGGACTATAAATGCATGAGAAAGATTTAAAATGTACCTTCTCTTGGGATATTTGCAATGAAACAATTTTAGAAATTAAGGAAAAAAAATAGCCACATTAGGTGGGTGAGACTTCTACACACACTTTTTTTTTTTTTTTTTGAGATGGAGTCTCGCTCTGTTGTCCAGGCTGGAGTGCAGTGGCGCGATCTTGGCTCACTGCAATCTCCACCTCCCAGGTTCAAGCAATTCTCTGCCTCAGCCTCCCGAGTGGCTGGGATTACAGGCACCTGCCACCATGCCCGGCTGATGGTGAACATCTTGTCCAGTCTGGTCTTGAACTCCTGACCTTGTGATCCACCCGCCTTGGCCTCCCAAAGTGCTGGGATTACAGGCGTGACCCACCGCGCCTAGCCTATGCACACACTTTCACACCTATTATGTCAACTAACTCACAAGGCAAGACCTGGTTTGAGGCACACCTCTATAGGTGATAGAACGCACAATTACAACACAGTTTCTCAGAACTGCAGCACTCACACACAATTCAACAAGCACCAGGAGGCATTGTTCCTCCTTGCTCCTACTCTTCCTGACAACAATACAGGTGCATCTTCATGAAGAGTAAGAGCTATATGTTTTCTTTCATTCCTTGGAAGATAAAAAGACACATTCTTGCTCTTCTCAAATCAAGAGCACAAATGTTTACAAAGATTTTAGACCGAAGACTTATCGAAGGTTGTTGAATTTGAATACGTTTTTCAAATATAGAGAAGATAGTACTTCAGCCAAACTCATCCGTAAATCCTGAGATGATAACTATGTTCTCAGTATCTAATGAAAACTTTACCTAGCAAATTGTTCTGTTTACTGAGAAAGAGTAATTATTCAGAAGCCAAGTGTCACACAACCCATTCTCTTACATCCTTCAGGCCTTGGTGCAAAGGTCGCCTACTCGATGAAGCCCTCCCTAATCTTCTCACTTTAAATAGTAATCATGCCCCATTCCTAAACCCCTAACCATACATCTTTCTTCATTGCTTTTGCCACTCTCTTGCATGCTGTACACTTACTTTTTTATTTTATATTTTCTCTTTAACCACAAGAACATAAGCTTTGCGGGGACAGGGACTTTGTTCATTGCTGTATTCATAGCCGTTATACCACTATCTGGTGTTTCACAGGCCCTTGGTAACACAGCAGTTACATAAACAAATGACATTAAATAATTTGTGAAAATATGGAGCAAGAGTTAGAGACCAGCCTGGCCAACATGGTGAAACCACGTCTCTACTAAAAATACAAAAATTAGCTGGGCATGGTGATACTCACCTGTAGTTCCAAGCTACTCGGGAGGCTGAGGCAGGAGAGTTGCTTGAACCTGGGAGGAGGAGGTTGCAATGAGTCGAGATCATGTCACTGCACTCCAGCCTGGGCAACAGAGTGAAACTCCATCTCAAAAAAAGAAAAAGAAAAAGAAAATATGGAGCAAGTTCTAAATATGGGTGGTGAATGCTCAACAAATGTTTATAGTCTTTGAAAAACAAATTTTATACAAATACGTATGGAAGCCATTAGTGTAACTGGAAACATGTCTGTTACATTTATAGCATATGATGTTATATATTTATCCATGACAGCAAGGATTGGATAGAGTAAATGTGGAGTTTAATGAAGGTTAAAAATATATTGATATATTTGAATGATGCTTACTAAAAGACACATTATTAAAATATTTAAACTAACCTTTTAGAACTTTGATTACTTCAAATAAAACTAAGCATCTGTTTCAGAGCATTAGCATCACTAACTTTTACATTGCAGTATTTTCTTAACTATTTAGTAGCAATAAATTGCTATAATATAATGACTAAAACAAATCATTAAATGTTGTCATGAAATAGCTGTGCATTTCAATTTAGTCAATAAGGTTTCACATAATAACTGCTAAAGTATTTTTTGTTCTATTTTGTATAATCAAAGCAAACCAACTTTACCACTCAGAAATTAAGGATATTAAATTTCTGATATTTATTGGGATAAATAGATGAACCTCTAAATATTTCTTCATTTTAATTAGAGATAGCTAGATTTTGCATTCTGCCTTTTGAAAGCCTTTTGGAATTTATTAATCATACTTCAAAAAATATTTTAACTCCTCAGAAATATTTAGAAAGGCCTAACTTTATTTTCAAAATACTTGACAGATAATTCGTTCTACAAACATTGTGTATTACATTAAAGAATCATTGAAAACACAGTTTCTGTATTGAATTAGAGTAAAAAATAAGCTCAATTACACATATGTCCTCTAATTGTACAAGTTAATAAATGGCTGCATACTTCGTACCAGAGTTTTAGCAGGTTCCAAATCCATGCTTATTACAACCAAGAAGAGATGCCACAAAGGTCGCAGGAAATATTTTTCCATGCAGACTGTTGGAAGGCATGTTAATATGAAGCCCAGAGATTGTGAAAGTATGATACTCCAATATACAGCTTGAGCCCAGGAGCGCCTGTTAGTTGTGGCAGGCTGCAGTCGTGCACAAGTGCTTACAGCTGCAGTGACATGGTGCTAAGCATGTTTTAAGACTAGTCCCAGTTGAGCAGCATCTTATCCAACCAGAAACAATCCCACAATCCAGCTCTTTTTAAGTGATCATCCTTGTATCATAACAGATTAAGGTTGCAGCTACTTTGGATTATGTTTAATCTAACCTTTATCCATTCACATCTTCACCTGAAACTTACAAGGACCAAGAGTCAATTGCCGGGACATAATTCACAATGACACTGATCTTTCCTTCCTCGCTCTAATTATCTGGATTAAGAATAACACTTTTGAGTAATTATTTTCACATTGGATAAACATTAAGCTTTCCTGGATTTATCTGAGCTTTTTCCTAACATGAAATAGATCCAACCAGGCTTATAAGAACCTAACTGACAGCAGTGACAGCTTAATCAAGGCATCCCTAAACAACTAAAACAATAAGGAAGTGTTTATTTTCCATTGTTAAGAATATTCAGGAATCAGAAACTTAACAAATTTTGTGGCCAAAAACCCCCTAGACAACCAATTACAACGCTCTAACTTTTTTTCTTTCTTTATAATAATTCAGTAATCCTCAAGTTCAAACTCTGAAACACTGAGAGCCACAGTGATGACATAAAACTGGCTATATTGATACTAGCCATGAAAAATAAATATCTTTATTTTCCGAACCAATGTAATGTCCTAAAAAAGACAACATATCACATTAGAATCAATGTGCTGAAATTATAATTAGAGTGAATCAAATACTTGCTGTATCACTTCTGATGGCTATTTTTGATCATTCTGAATTGTCCATCCAAGATTGCACACAATCCCTAAAATTGGTATCACAAACAAGCTAGAAAAATCTTCCAAGCTTGTCTTTGAAACTAAGATCATATACAATTACACACTAAAATCACATCACAAAACCCAATTACACTTTGGCTTTGCAGATCCACAGATAACCTCTTAAAGAGCAAACTCCCTCACTGTGTCAACCTCTGACCTCAACCTCTTTTTCCAATCTTCAGCAGCAGTGCTATACATTTCTTAGCCAGAGTGAAGAGCCCAAACTCTGAACAGTGAATAAGACCTGCAGGATTTTTGAAGGGTATCAAGTGTACCATCTACCATTATTTTAATGCTAAGGTTAATATTGCTAATATTTTATTATCATCCTTTAATATATCTTACACATTGTTCTGCCTCTTACTTATAACCAAACATTTTTAATAAAAGAATTTCCATTAAGTACCCTTGCCTTCATTTTAATGGCTTAAAGATCCATAAGCAGTAATATTGTTAAGCTTCAAAAAAGGAAGAAGGAAGGAAGGAAGAAGGAAGGAAGGAAGGAAAGAAGGAAGGAAAAGAGGGAGGGAGGGAGGGAGGGAAAGAGATCACTGGCTATTTTAATGGAATTAAAAAAACTGATTCCAAACTAACAAATTTTGAACAAGCATTTATGATAAGAAGAAGAAGAGAAGCGAGCTGGCTCTGACAGCAACATCTCTCATGAGTCCAAGATTACATTTGTTAATCTGAGTTTGGAGCATCATAATCACTGAATATGTGATTCTCCATAGAAAAGGGAAGAACTCTAGTTTCATACCAGTTCTTCTCCATAGTTTCTTAAAAAAAATCACCAAAGGGAAAATACGAAGCAGTTACTTAAGGCATTTTCTATGGGTGAATATGAGTAAAGAGGTAAATAAAATGTCATCCAAGTCTATTTGTGAAAAAACTCAAAATCATTGCAAGTTCTTTTTCAGAATTGGGGTCATTACAGCTTTACCTATCTGTTCACTTATTTGTGCTCTTAAGCTTCCTAATTTTTTAAATAGCAACTATGGAATACGGCACATCAGAATTGCAGTGGTACTTGGAAGTCAGTGGCTCCAACTCCCCAAACCTTACCATCTGCAGAGTATGTTGGTGACTGGTAAATGCTCACTAGCATAGGTCTACATTATCCCAAGTAATAATGCCAAGTATGTGTGAATAGCTAAGTCAAAGATACTCTCTTACAACTGTCCTCCTCTCCAACGTAATATATTAGGTTTTGTAAGGATGCATGGAAGATGTCAGTAAAATAAAATGATATTAACGCATAAGTAATGGCATCATCAGCCATTTATACTCAACTCCTTGGAGATATTATCACCTTAACACAAAAGAAATTCCCCTGTTCAGTACCTCAAAGTGTTCAGAATGAGTCAGGAAAATTATTAGGCCTCAAAAATGTAATGCCAGCAAAACAAACCACTGAGAATTTTGAAAAATATTACCATAGAGGAACTATGTGCTAGAGAACAAAAGGTGATACAGAATTAACATCAGAAAGATTAAATGAACATTCTTAAGTGATTACAGATATCTTATGGGTAAGCACAAACATTCGAGTTCATATTTGAACAATGTATGATAGAAAAAGAATCCACGAAATTAAAGTCCTGGGCTTTTTTCCCCTAGAGAATGATAAATCATTTTTATTTCATAGGCATTCCCTTAAAATTATAATGCACAGATATTTATTCATGTATTGCATCAGATTAGCTGGTAAGTTCTGTGAGACCAGGTGCTACAGTTTGTAAACTTAGTAAAGCCATTTATAGTGACTAGTCAGATGAATGAAATTCTGAGAGTACTGAAAATCCATGAACAAACTGAAATGCAATTTAATTACTTTTACTACTAATGCCCAAAATACCATTTCTATAATCTAAAGACATTGTGGATTCCCTCCATAACCCTCCATACTTCTTATGTGACGGTGAAATAATACAACTCCTTAATGATTTTGCCCCTCTAAAGATCTATAAAGAACGAAAAGAGAAGCATCCAGAGACATAGGTAAAATTTTTGAAATCTGAAATGACCAAAATATATTTTAAAGTCTGAAAATACTCTGATATTGAAAATGTAATATAAAAAATTTTAAGAAAAATAACAAAATAAATCAGGTGTTTGATAGAAGGTGCGAAATCTCTAACTGCTGACCATGCTTTATAAACATTTACATTATACTGTAGCTATTCATACTTACAGACTTCCTGAACACCATATAATTTTACCCATTGTTGTATAAGTTGCATTCCTTACACAAATGTTGTACGGTGGTGTGAGGCATGTGTTCTTGACAATCTAGACACTTACTTCTTGACAGTACTTAAAAAAAGGCCAAGTCTACATGACAGCCCCAGATGGTTTTTAAGTGAAGAGCAGAAAAAGTAATATAATTGATTTGGTGCTTGTTGAGATGTCCTAAATATTTGGTTTCAACTTTTACCTAATCCATCGATTCCACCTTTTTTATTTCTACTTAAAAAAAAAAAAACCCACAGAGGATTGGGGCTATATGTTTAGTATTCTAAAAATATCTCAGAAATTTTGCTGGAGTAACAGTTCCTTCAGAACTTTTCAATACTGTTAAATTGCTAACCCTATTTGACATATATGTTTAGAGTTCACCTTTAGAAGGCTCTAATTAGACACTTCATCAAGTCCCTGGGTCTCCCCTAAGTAGCCTTCAATGAGTTTCTCTAGATGAATACCGTAGTTTATTTCTATATATACAGAAAATCATTCCCAAAGCAAGTTTTCTGATTGGTATTGAGAGTTGATACTTTCAGAGATATGGGAATAGAAATAACATAAATTAACAGTTTATAAAATATGTACAAGGAACTCAGGACAACGCGATTTGTTATGTTGGAGTTTAGTTATATTTCATTTGCACATCATTTGATTTGATGTAGTTGGATTTGGCTTGGCTTGATTTGGTTTTGTTGGTGTGATTGGTTTTGGAGAGGAAAGCTGAGGGTGCCGGGAAGAGGGCTTTGTTCTGAGTTTAAAGTGTCTTGATGATCTCCTAGACCCCACAGACAATAAAAAACATAAGATACCCTCTCTTGTTCAAGACCCCCCAAACTAAAAAATGAAACATGAGTGAGAGATGTAAATAATCATCACTGAAGTTCAGTAGATGAAGAAAAGAATAGAGTGGTCAGTGAAAGTTTCATGAAATATTTGGGACCTTACTAACTATCCACTGTTTTAACAGTTAATCATTGAACACATTATACAAACACTCTTTTATGTTATAAAATACATAAAAATGTATACCAAACACAATAGGGAGATAAATATATATATAAATACACTTGTTTATAGATTCTCTATTCAGTTCTACTTCTATGTACATTCTACTTAGTATTATACCTTTGTTTAAATCTTAATATGTGGCAGTGTTAAGCCTCCAACTCTGTTCTTCAAGATTGTCTTAGCTTTTCCTTGTTTTTTGACAAATACATTTTACAATCAACTTGTCAATTTCTACAATTAAAGTATCAGTCAAGATTGTGAATAGAATCGTACTAAATCTTAGATCAGATTTGTGTAGAAATGAATAGCTGAGCCTTCAAAATAAAGAATATAAGATAGTTCTCCATATATCCTGTTTTATTTCTTTCAGATATATTTCATAAAAATGCCTGTGCATTCAACTTTGGTTAAATTTACTACTAAGTACTTAAATGTTTTTGATGCTGTTGTTGAGAGAATCTTTGATTTTGGTTTTATTTTTCAGTTACTACTGGTTTATAAAAATAAAGAGATGTTTGAATATTCAGCACCTCCTCTACATTCCTCTGCTCTTTTTGAATAGGGAACTATTTCTTTTGTACTATATAACTTCTACTTATTTCTTCTTGCCTTATTGCCTTGCCTTATTGCATCAGAAGCAATATTAGATGCAATTCAATATTTGATATAAGATTCGCTTCAATTTTGGACAGAAATCTTTCAATAAGTCAGCATTAAGAATGTTGCTTACTATGTATATTTTTATGGATAGAGTTTATCAGTTTAAAGCAGTCCTTTCTGTTTCTAGTACACTAAAAGTATTATTAAAGGATTTTTAATTTCTCAACATTTTTCTTATTCTGTCAACGTGGTGAGTTACATAAATTGATAATTTTCTAATACAGCATATTTACATCCCTAGAATAAGCCCCAATTGGCTGTGATGTACAAGGATTTATACATATTACTGAATTCTATTTTCTAATTTTGGTGAGGCCTACTTTGAGTTTATTGTGAATCACAGCTTAGAGTCAGTGCTTTCCTTGTGTGGAACATATTTTTCAAAGAAATGCTAAAAAAGAGACTGATAGACTAAATTAAATTCATTACAACCCTCTGATATAGTCTGGATATTTGTCCCCTCCAAATCTCATGCTGAAATTTGATTCCCAGTGTTGGAGGTGGGGCCTAATGGGAAGTATGTCTTTAACTAGATTAAGCTAAACATAAAATTATACTGATGTGTCCAACTCTAGTTCAGCAGCACACAGGACTCTAGTTCAGTGGCAACTTTAGTCCAGTTCCCCCCGCCCTCCGCAACTTTGCCTCTCTGTAACCTACCAACCATCCCAATAATAAGAAGGCTAACTCCTACTATTTTTCTTTCTTGTACTTATTTAATTCTAGTATATATCCATAGTGGTTTCAGAATTGTTTATCTGCATGTATAAAACAACAACCAACTGCGATATGGTGTCCATATACATTTCCTTTTGCCTTAGTCTCCACTCATTTCCAAAATTACGTAGGACAGCGTATTTTCTCTCTACAATATGTAGTGAGGTTATTTCATTCATTTGTAATACAATTAGATACTTTGTCAAATATTTTTTCTGGGTCTATTTATATAATCATATTGATTTTCTTATTTAGTCTTTTAATAGGGTGAATTACATTAATTGATTTTTGAATGTTGAACTAGCGTTTCATTCCTAGAATAAACCCAAGTTGATCATGTTGTATTTTCCAGTTTATATATTGCCAAATTAGATTTTCTAGTATTTTGTTAAGAAGTTTTACATATATGTCCATTACAGATATTACTGTGTTATTTTCCTTATAATGTGTTTATCTGGTTTTCATATTAGAGTACACGGGCCTTGTAAAAGAGTTGAGAAGTATTCACTCTACTTATATTTTCTGAAAGGGATTGTGGAGGATTGGCAATATTGTTTACTAAAATGTTTGGTAGAATTCACCAGTGAAACTATATGGGACAAGTGCTTTTTTGGAAACATTTAAAAATTTTTTAATTTACAAATTTTAATATATATATATCTATGCTGGTTATCTCTTTCTCCTTAAGTGAATTTTGGTAGTTTGTGTCTTTCAAAGAACTGGTAATTTCATCTAAGTTACTCAATTTGTGGATGAAGAGTTGTTCATAGTACTATCTTGTTACCATTTTAATATCCATGGGATCAGCAGTGATAATCCCTTTTTTATTTCCAATCTTGGTAATTTAGATTGTTTTTTCTCTTTTTTTCTGAGTTAGCCAGGCTAGAGTTTTGTCACTTTTACTGAACTTTTCAAAGAACCAGTTTTTGTTTTCATTGATTTCCTCCAATGTTTTCCTGTTTCCAATTTCATTGGTTTCTGCTCTAAATTTTATTTATTTATTCTGATTGCTTTAGATTTACTTTGCTTTCTCTCTCTAATGGTCCTAAATTAGAAGCTTAGATCATTGATTTTAGATCTTTTTTTTCTAATGTGTGCATTTATTTAATGCTATATATTTTCTCTGAGTCCATTTCTCTAAATGGACTTGTGTCCATTCGTTTTGTGCTGCTATAACAGAACTGGGTAATTTAAAATAAACAGGAATGTATTGGCTCAAGATTCTGGAGGCTGAGAAGCTCAATACTGAGGGGCTGGCATCTGATCAGGGCCTTCTTCTCACATCACCCCATGGTGGAAAGATAAAAAAAGGCAAGAGAGAGTGAGAGAGTGAGCTTGCAGCCTCAAGCCCTTTTATAATCAGCATTAATCCATTCATGAGGGATTGTAACCTAAACACCTCCCATTAGGCCCCACATCCCAACACATTGTATTGGGGATTAAGTTTCTAACACACACTTTTTGGGGACACATTCAAACCATAACATAACTGCTTTTTGCTTCATCCCCCAAATTTGAATAGGCTGTGTGGGGTGAGGGTGGGACATATCAGAATTGGGAGGGAGACATAGAGCATTTCATCAGGTTTTATCTCTGCTGCGACCTTCCTGTCCTGGAAGAGCATCCACTCAATCCCTGCTGGTGCATGGCCAGGAGATTAAAGAACCTGCCTAGACCACTTTCTGCTGCTGAATAGGAGGATAAGGAGATGCCTGGTCTGGTTTCAGGGCCCAATATTCTATCTGAGATTCTTAACTATGCTGATAATTCCTTCTGAGAAGATACTTCCTCCACGTTTCCCACCCCCAAAAAGTGACCTCTCTTCTCACTTAGAGATGATCTCTATGTTCCTCTGCCCTCTGAGTTATCAATCTTTATCTGATACTCAAAAAACCTTTCCCTAAATGCACTATTACATAACGAGCTACACTAGATAATCACACTAAAAAGTACAAAAGATTTATAAAGTATATGACTCTTGCCTGTCACAAATATGGAAATAATGAAGCCTCCGGTCCCTCTCCCCTGCCAGAGATGCCTGCAAAGCCTGCTCTGTTACAATTTACCTCTCTCCAAAATTCTTCATGTGAATTCCTGTCCAACAGTTAATGATATGGTTTGGCTCTGTGTCCCCACCCAAATTTCATGTTGAATTGTAATTGCCAATGTTGAGGGAGGAACTTGGTAGGAAGTGATTGAATCATAGGGTTGGATTTCCCCCTTGCTGTTCTTGTGATTGAGTTCTCCTGAGGTCTGGTTTTCTAAAAGTATGTGGCACTTCTGCTTTTGCCTTCTCTCTCTCCTGTTAGCCATGAGAAGATGTGCCTGTTTCCCCTTTGCCTTCTGCCATGACCGTAAGTTTCCTGAGACCTCCCTCCCAAGCCATGCCTCCCCTCCAGCCTGTGGAACTATGAGTCAATTAAATCTCTTCTCTCTATAAATTACCCAGTCTCAGGTAGTTCTTTACAGCTGTGTGAAAACAGACTAATACGCCCTTGTTCACAAAAACCCTGGCTACTAGAAAAGAAAAAGCAGGTCTCAAGAAGGGAAGTCCTTACCATAAATAAATAAATTCTCATAAAAAGTACTCTCAACTGCTTATACAAGTTACTAAACTACTTCTGTATAAGGGTTTTAAAATGCATTTGTAACTTCGAGATACTTGGTAGCTAAGAGACTAGAGCAGTCCCCTGAGGACAGTGAAGTCTCTCTGTTCTTACTGTATGCATATTATTAATGAGGAAAAGGCAGCATCTTATTTTAAAATTTTGACCAGTGTTTTTATTTTTAAAATTATATATATAAAGGATACATATATGGTACATGATTTTTTACAAAAATGCCAGGATTGCATTTTGTATTTTAGAAAAAAAAATGCTAGTACTGCACTCTCCACATTGTTCTGAACATTTTTTTTATATTATCACTATATCTTGGAGGTTATTCAATGACATTATACATAGATCTGTATTATTAATGTGGAGTGGCATATAGCATTTTATTGCACATTTGTAACAGGACTCATTTAATCTGTCCCCTACAAATGGACTTTTAAGTGATTTCTTTTATTTTTGCCATTGCAATTATCGCTAAAAGATTTTCAAATGCTGCATGTGCAAATGTCTGCAGAATAATTGCTAAAATTTGAATGTTTATATTTTTCCAATCTTTACCCCTTCTTTGATTGTAAGCATACATCATTTATACAGAAGGGAAAAAAATGCTTTTAGAAAGGCCCAATGTTGCCATTATTAAAGAAATGTTAGCATTTTCAGGCATTGATATCCTGAACAGCATTAAAAATAAATGAGGTACATAATAAATTGCTCTTTTTAAATAAAAACTGATTTTGAAACTATACTCAATTTTATTTGGATCACATTTAAAGATAGTCATTTATTTTTCAGTTCTCAAATTTTATAAACCCTTTGGTTAAAACTTTTCAAATGAGTTGTAGTCTACACATGTTGGCTTTCTAAAACTTATCTTACCAAACATTTGCCAGTATTTTATCATTCTGAGACTTCTATTAAATTGCTCCATTGGTTTCCATGAGGATAGCTTAGTCATCCCAAAAATTTACCTCCGGAAGTTGTAAAACCCTGATCATGTTTCAGTAATTAGGTATTCCAAATTGAAAATTAATCTTCCTCAGACTTTTAAGAAGTTCCTCCTATCATGGAAATAAATTTGAAATCAACCTTTTTTTCATGTCCACCTGCCATCTTTATGAAAGTCAAAACCATATGTGCTTGGTCTTTGAAGTACGGTTTTGTCCTCTAATGATATCCTTCACATAACAGTATTATTCCACTAGCCCCAACTTCCCATTGCTCAAGTGGAGCCCAACTCAGCAGAAGAATGACAAATGCATGTGCAGATGGGTGATGTCGGGGTAACAAATGACCACAGCCTATGAAGTTACAAACACAGAAATGTCAACAAGTTGCCCAGATAAAATGACATACAAAATGAGCCAACATAGGCTGAATATTTAGAGCAATTTCTGGTTTGAATTACAAAATCAATTTTTCTTAGATGAAATGTTTCTTGGAACAGAGGATCTATTGTTTATTTTTTTCAAATATATAGCAAGTTTTTTTGTTAGCAATTGTGATTAATATGTACTGATTCATTTATTTTGTACAGTAAACTAAACCATTTTTGTTTGTGTGAAAATAGGTTTCACTGACCTGAACAAATACACATTCTAATTCACCAGTTGTGAAGTCTCAACCATCAATATTATTGTTAAAAACTTGTGGTAAGTAATTTTTTTGGTCTCATTTTAAATCACAGATATAAAATGTAGAAAGTTTTACCCCACTAATATCAGCTAGAGGAATGTTTGATATATGAAATAGAGTCAGTCCTACAGGGCACAGGATAGACTTCAGCCTTCAGAAAAAAAAGAAAAAAAACTCTAGTCAACTAAAATAGAGACCATTTTGAGGGATAAATGATATAGCTCTTGGATTGTTAGATGTAAAAACCAGATGGAAAGGAAAATCAAAAGAAAAGCTGCTCCATTTTTCAATCACACATCACAAAGGTAAGCACAGAATACTTGAAAGCCTATCAGTTATGGTGCCTTGTTTTCTGCATACCAACCATTATAATCTTAACATTTGGGAATGCTGGAAACATTTTTGTAGACTGAAATGTGAAGTTTTTCCATGTTCGTCATTCACAATGTATTGAGTCTATTCCATGTATCCCTATATATAAAATATCTTTTTAACCAACTCCACTAATGTTCTTTGAGTCTCAAATCCTTAAGCAGGCAGATTCTGTGAAAAAACTCCTTCTTGAAAACTGAAAAGTCTCTATAATAAGCCTCAGGTGGAAAGAGTCTGGTCTAAAGCATCTCAACTGGAGTCCAAAAGCACAATGGTGTTAATCATATAGGTCACAGTTGTGCCCAAGATGCTGCAGAGGAACAGTATCTAAGTGGACAGACCCTGGGCCAGCAACGTCCACCCAGGAACAAGCTTATGTATGTATCCACAAAATGAAATACCACTCAGCAATAAAAAGGAGCAAACTATTGATACATGCAAAAACATGAATAAATTTCAAAAACAATATGCTGAATAAAAGAGTCAAAGAGAAATGGTGTATTCAATATGATTCCATTTGTATAAAATGCAAATTTGTCTATAGTGACAAAATGCAGATCAGTGGTTGCCTCTGGCATGGATCAAAGGCAGTACTGCAAAGGAGTACGTGGAATCTGAGGATTGTGGAAATTTTCTGTATCTTGTTCATGGCAGAGGTTCACGGGTATACACAACTGTCAAAACTCATGAAATTTTATACTTGAAATTGATGCAATTATTTTACTTGTTATTTTTCAATAAAGTTGATTAGAAAAATCTTATTCATATTATCATAAAAGTTTCAAGCTTATATTTATGAATGAAATAGAACTTTTGCTTATATATGTTATGTTTTAGTAAGTGTAATTATTTAAATTTTTATTTTATTCTTATGAAAAGAAATATTCTATGGTTGCTATTAAGAATTTGGATAATCATATCAAACATTTAAATTCAAAATTACATATAGTCATTTTAAATGTAAAGCCTAATATTTAAAAATCATGTGGATGAAAATCCTTGTTCTCACTTAAATTTTTGGAAACATTTTACTTGCATGTAGAGTATAAGCTCGATATTTGTTATATCCTCTAATACTTTGTACTTTTATTTACTTTAAATTGTGTAATTTAAAAAACTTGCTAATTCTTCAGCAAACCCCTTACACATATCTCATCTCACCTCCTTTATAATTCTTATTTCCCATGTGTGCCATGATAGGATAAAATTGTGAAGCTCCCTGCCCAAGTCTGGTGAATCAATCAGAGGCAACATACCTGCCCTAACATTTGAGGAGCCTGGGGAAAGAGTGCAAATGGAGTTCTATGGGCTCTTTGTCTAAACATTTTAAAGTTATAAGTCATACTAACAAACTATGATCTGTACTCCTCCTTTGACGGATATAACTTTAAAGAAAATAAAAATGGCCAGGCGCGGTGGCTCACGCCTGTAATCCCAGCACTTTGGGAGGCCTAGGCGGGTGGATCACCTGAGGTCAGGAGTTCTAGAACAGCCTAGCCAACATGGTGAAACCCCGTCTCTACTAAAAATACTAAAATGAGCCAGGCGTGGTGTCAGGCGCCTGCAATCCCAGCTACTCGGGGGTGGAGCGGGTTGGGGGGGCCGAGGCAGGAGAATCGCTTGAACCCGGGAGGCGGAGGTTGCAGTGAGCTGAGATCGCGCCTTCGCACTCCAGCCTGGGGGACAAGAGCAAGACTTCGTCTCAAAAAAAAAAAAAAGAAAAAAGAAAACAAACAAACAAAAAAAAAAAACAAAAGAAAAAAAGAAAAGGAAAATGTATGTAAAGCTATGGTTTTTACATGATTGAAAATCACAAATACATGTGATGACTAAATTATTATTGTACACGTCATACATTCTGTTGATGAATGAGTAATAACAATATACCATTAAAATTTAAAACATATTCATTTTATAAATTATTACAAATGTATTTAATAAAATTATTTTTTCAAGCACAATTATTACTTTGTTATAATTAAGATTGTCACACAGTGTATTCTATAAGCTGTAATGATCTAAAGAATTTAAATATATCATGGTATTTAAAGTATATAAAAGTCTAATATATTTGTATTTAAAATAGCAATTAAAACTACAAAAATGAGATAATTTTTGTTTTAAAAAAGCATGTTTTTGAAAAATATTCAAATAAACATATAAACAGGCAAAATATATAAAAATAATAAGTAAATAAAAGCTAAACATTTACCTTTTTTTTTTTTTTTTTTGAGAAGGAATTTCACTCTTGTTGCCCAGGCTGGAGTGCAGTGGCGTGATCTCGGCTCACTGCAACCTCCTCCTCCCCAGTTCAAGTGATTCTCCTGCCTCAGCCTCCACAGAAGGTGGGATTACAGGGGCGCACCACCACGCCTGGCTAATTTTTGTATTTTTAGTAGAGAGGGGGGTTTCACCATGTTGGTCATGCTGGTCTTGAACTCCTGACCTCGTGATCCACCCTCTTCGGCCTCTCAAAGTGCTGAGATTATAGGCGTGAGCCACTGCGCACGGCCCACATTTACTTTTTAATATATATTTTTAGCAAATGTTGTATAAAAATAAAACTATTTTCAATTCCAGCATTTTATGTCCATCTAGTAACCACTGTAAAGAAAAGACAGTGTACTGTTTGCATATTCTGCCTAGATTTACATATAATATACAGTAAAACTTTAACAATAATATAAATAATTTAAAATTGTGATGTTCTTCAGCTGCTCTGTGCAACTATTGTGAATACTATGCCATTTTGTAAATATCTACTGAATCACATCTTTGGCACACAAAAGGAGGCACAAAAAAAGAATATTTTGCAATTAGAAATACTTTTTGGGTGAAAAAAATCCTTTAGATTTAGGCCGAGATGAAGAGTTTCTAAAATTATTTTATTTGTTTCCCTTAAGTGCTTTAAGTGTTCATTCATTGCGCTCTAAAGTGTCTATCTCTGACATCAGCAACAACAACCCACAAAACTACAAGTCTAAAGTCACTTTTGGTTTTCAGGCAATTGCAAAGAAGTGTTTTCCTGGGCCGGATCATTGTTGGTCAGGAGAGCAGATGTTGACAGTCATAGGCCATGCTGAGCCAGCACTGAGCATCTGATTCCTACTGACAGCATGGTTCATGTATTTTTTTCATTATATATATGTGCATGTGTATGTATGTATATATTTATCTATAGATAGATATAAATGACATGTAATATAATTATAACAAATTATATATTTTATTTTGTTTAATATATAACTTATAACTTATATATTAAATAATATAAAACTTATTAATGTTTAAATACTATATAAATAATATATAACTAAATAATATATAATGATGCATATTATATAACTTATAACTTATATATTAAATAATTATAACTTATTAATTGTTTAAATAATATATAAATAATATATAACTAAATAATATATAACTATGCATATTCTATAATATATGCATGTGTTTGTTTATATATGTCCGTGTAATAATTAATTACTCTATCTGTATTTATTTCTGATTTGTAATCTGCAGGGCCTTCTGAATCACAGGATTCAGGGGGCAGTTACCCCTCTTGCTCAGATCTGACAGTAATAATGAGATTCAGAATTCATGGTCTACCTGAATCTGACCAAATAAATATTTAACCAGACATGCAGTGGACTCTTTTGCAAATATTTTAGCCTCAATATCAATAGTAAGTAATATTCCTTAACAATACAAATATTGTTCATACTTAAAATTCAAAAGCTATTGATTCATTCAACATATGTTAAAAATTCATTTTTAGTATAAAATAAGCATCCTTTCAGATAACCACAATTTTACCAATAAGCTAACTTTTGTTTCAAATGGACTTCATTTTTTAGAGTAGTTTTGGGCTAACAACGAAATTGAGTAGAAAATACCAAGTTCCCATTTACCCTCTAATTCCATACATGCACATCATCCCTGCTATCAAAATCCTGTACCAGAATGGTACATTTATTACAATTGGTACAATAACCCAAAATCTAGTTTACATTCTATGGAATTAGGACAAATGTATGACATATATCCACCATTATGGTAATTGTACAGAATAATTTCACTGTCCTAAAAATTCTCTGTGCTCTGCCTATTTATCACTTCCTCCCCCTAACCCTGGCAACCACTGATCTTTTTACTGCTTCCATTGTTTTGTCTTTTCCAGAACTTTGAAATCATAAAATTAGCCTATCATTTTCCTTCACTTACTAATATACATTTAAGGCTCTTCTGTGTCTTTTTGTGGCTTGATAGACCATTTTTTAGTGTTGAATACTCCATTGTTTGGATGTACCACAATTTGTTTATCCATGTACCTACTGAGGGTTGCTTCCAGATTTTGGAAATTATGAATGAAGCTGCTATAAACTTCCCTGTGGAGATTTTTATGTGGATATAAATGTTAAATGCTTTGGGCAAATACTAAGAAGTGCTGTTGCTGGATGACATGGTAAGAGTATTTTTAGTTTTATGAGAAACCACCAAAGTGTCTTCCTGAGTGGCTGTAGTATTTTGCATTTCCACCAATAATGAATGAGAATTCCTGTTGGTCCACATCCTTGCCAGCATTTGGTGCTGTCATCGTTTGGGATTTGGGCCATTCTAATAGATATGTAGTGGTATAAAATTGCCTTAATTTGCAATTCCCTAATGATGTATGATGTTGAATATCTTTTCACATGCTTATATGCAATCTGCATATCTTCTTTAGTGAGGTGTCTTTTGTCCATTTTAACTCCTTTCTTCTTCAGGTATTTGTCTCCTTTAGTTGGGTTGTTTATCAAGTTTTGAGATTTCTTTGTGTATTTTACATAACTACTTTATTAGACATATCTTTTGCAAATATTCTCTCTCAGTCTGTGTTTTTTTTTATTCTGTTGACAGTATCTTTTACAAAGAACATTTTAATTTTAATGAAGTCCAGCTTATGCATTATTTCTTTCATGGATAGTGCTTATACTGATGTATCTACAATGTCATTGCCATAGTTAAAGTCATATTGATTTTCTTCTATGTGTTCTGGGAGTTTTAGGATTTTGTGCTTTACATTTAGGTTTATGAACCATTTTGAGTTAATTTTTGTAAGACATGTAATGTCTATGTCTCAATTCATATTTCTAAATTTAGATGTCAAGTTGTGTTCTCCCAACACCATTTGTTGAAAGCACTATCTTGGAGGTGGAGCCAAGATGGCCGAATAGGAACAGCTCCAGTCTACAGCTCCCAGCATGAGCGACACAGAAGATGGGTGATTTCTGCATTTCCAACTGAGGTACCAGGATCATCTCGCTGGGGAGTGTTGGACAGTGGGTGCAGGACAGTGGGTGCAGCACATCAAGCATAAGCCAAAGCAAGCTCACCCGGGAAGTACAAGGGGTCAGGGAATTCCCTTTCCTAGTCAAAGAAAGGGGTGACAGATGGAACCTGGAAAATCGGGTCACTCCCACCATAACACTGCGCTTTTCCAACAGTCTTAGCAAACGGCACACCAGGAGATTATATCCTGTGCATGGCTTGGAGGGTCCTATTCCCACAGAGCATCGCTCATTGCTAGCACAGCAGTCTGAAATCAAACTGCAAGGCCACAGTGAGGCTGGGGGAGGGGCGCCTGCCATTGCTGAGGCTTGAGTAGGTAAACAAAGCAACCAGGAAGCTCGAACTGGGTGGAGCCCACCGCAGCTCAAGCAGGCCTGCCTGCCTCTGTAGACACCACCTCTGGGGGCAGGGCATAGCCAAACAAAAGGCAGCAGAAACCTCTGCAGACTTAAGTGTCCCTGTCTGACAACTTTGAAGAGAGTAGTGGTTCTCCCAGCATGCAGCTTAAGATCTGAGAATGGACAGACTGCCTCCTCAAGTGGGTCCCTGACCCCTGAGTAGCCTAACTGGGACGCACCCCCCAGTAGGGGCAGACTGACACTTCACATGGCTGGGTACTACTCTGAGACAAAACTTACAGAGGAGAGATCAGACAGCAACATTTGCTATTCACCAATATCCACTGTTCTGCAGCCTCTGCTGCTGATACCCAGGCAAACAGGGTCTGGAGTGGACCTTCAGCAAACAACAACAGACCTGCAGCTGAGGGTCCTGACTGTTACAAGGAAAACTAACAAACCGATAGGACATCAACACCAAAACCCCATCAGTACGTCACCATCATCAAAGACCAAAGGTAGATAAAACCACAAAGATGGGGGAAAAACAGAGCAGAAAAACTGGAAACTCTAAAAATCAGAGCACCTCTCCTCCTCCAAAGGAACACAGCTCCTCACCAGTAACGGAACAAAGGTGGATGGAGAATGACTTTGACAAGTTGAGAGAAGAAGCCTTCAGACGATCAAACTACTCCAAGCTAAAGGAGGAAGTTTGAACCGATGGCAAAGAAGTTAACAACCTTGAGAAAAAATCAGACGAATGGCTAACTAGAATAACCAATGCAGAGAAGTCCTTAAAGGACCTAATGGAGCTGAAAACCATGGCATGAGAACTACACGACAAATGCACAAGCCTCAGTAGCTGATGCAATCAACTGGAAGAAAGGGTATCAGTGATGGAAGATCAAATGAATGAAATGAAGTGAGAAGAGAAGTTTAGAGAAAAAAGAATAAAAAGAAATGAACAAAGCCTCCAAGAAATATGGCACTATGTGAAAAGACCAAATCTACGTCTGATTGGTGTACCTGAAAGTGACGGGGAGAATGGAACCAAGTTGGAAAACGCTCTGCAGGATATTATCCAGGAGAACTTCCCCAGTCTAGCAAAGCAGGCCAACATTCAAATTCAGGAAATACAGAGAACGCCACAAAGATACTCCTCGAGAAGAGCAACTCCAAGACACATAATTGTCAGATTCACCAAAGTTGAAATGAAGGAAAAAATGTTAAGGGCAGCCAGAGAGAAAGGTCGGGTTACCCACAAAGGGAAGCCCATCAGACTAACAGCTGATCTCTCGGCAGAAACTCTACAAGCCAGAAGAGAGTGGGGGCCAATATTCAACATTCTTAAAGAAAAGAATTTTCAACCCAGAATTTCATATCCAGCCAAACTAAGCTTCATAAGTGAAGGAGAAATAAAATCCTTTACAGACAAGCAAATGCAGAGAGATTTTGTCACCACCAGGCCTGCCCTAAAAGAGCTCCTGAAGGAAGCACTCAACATGGAGAGGAACAACCGGTACCAGCCACTACAAAATCATGCCCAATTGTAAAGACCACTGAGGCTAGGAAGAAACTGCATCAACTAATGAGCAAAATAACCAGCTAACATCATAATGACAGGATCAAATTCACACATAACAATATTAACCTTAAATGTAAATGGGCTAAATGCTCCAATTAAAAGACAGAGACTGGAAAATTGTATAAAGAGTCAAAACCCATCAGTGTGCTGTATTCAGGAGACCCATCTCACGTGCAGAGACACATATAGACTCAAAATAAAGGGATGGATGAAGATCTACCAAGCAAATGGAAAACAAAAAAAGGCAGGAGTTGCAATCCTAGTCTCTGATAAAACAGACTTAAACCAACAAAGATCAAAAGAGACAAAGAAGGCCATTACATAATGGTAAAGGGATCAATTCAACAAGAAGAGCTAACTATCCTAAATATATAGGCACCCAATACAGGAGCACCCAGATACATAAAGCAAGTCCTTAGAGACCCACAAAGAGACTTAGAACTCCCACACAATAATAATGGGAGACTTTAACACCCCACTGTCAACATTAGACAGATCAACAAGACAGAAAATTAACAAGGATATCCAAGAATTGAACTCAGCTCTGCACCAAGCAGACTTAATAGACATCTACAGAACTCTCCAGCCCAAATCAACAGAATATACATTCTTTTCAGCACCAATCACACCTATTCCAAAATTGACCACATAGTTGGAAGTAAAGCTTTCCTCAGCAAATGTAAAAGAACAGAAATTATAACAAACTGTCTCTCAGACCACAGTGCAATCAAACTAGAACTCAGGATTAAGAAAGTCACGCAAAACTCCTCAACTACATGGAAACTGAACAACCTGCTCCTGAATGACTACTGGCTACGTAACAAAATGAAGGCAGAAATAAAGATGTTCTTTGAAACAAACGAGAACAAAGACACAACATACCTGAATCTCTGGGATACATTCAAAGCCGTGTGTAGAGGGAAATTTATAGCACTAAATGCCCACAAGAGAAAGCAGGAAAGATCTAAAATTGACACCCTCACATCACAATTAAAAGAACTAGAGAAGTAAGAGCAAACACATTCAAAAGACAGCAAAAGGCAAGAAATAACTAAGATCAGAGCAGAAATGAAGGAAATAGAGACACAAAAAACCCTTCAAAAAATCAATGAATCCAGGAGCTGGTTTTTTAAAAAGATCAACAAAATTGATAGACCGCTAGCAAGATTAATAAAGAAGAAAAGAGAAGAATCTAATAGAGGCAATAAAAAATGATAAAGGGGATATCACCACCAATCCCACAGAAATACAAACTACCATCAGAGAATACTATAAACACCTCTATGCAAATAAACTGGAAAATCTAAAAGAAATGGATAAATTCCTTGACACATATACCCTCCCAAGACTAAACCAGGAAGAAGTTGAATCTCTGAATACACCAATAATAGGCTCTGAAATTGAAGCAATATTTAATAGCTTACCAACCAAAAAAAGTCCAGGACCAGATGGATTCACAGCCGAATTCTACCAGAGGTACAAGGAGGAACTGGTACCATTCCTTCTGAAATTATTCCAATCAATAGAAAAAGAGGGAATCCTCCCTAACTCATTTTATGAGGCCAGCATCATCCTGATACCAAAGCCGGGCAGAGACACAACAAAAAAAGAGAATTTTAGACCAATATCCCTGATGAACATTGATGCAAAAATCCTCTATAAAATACTGGCAAACTGAATCCAGCAGCACATCAAAAAGCTTATCCACCATGATCAAGTGGGCTTCATCCCTGGGATGCAAGGCTGGTTCAACATACACAAATCAATAAACGTAATCCAGCATATAAACAAAACCAAAGACAAAAACCACATGATTATCTCAATAGATGCAGAAAAGGCCTTTGACAAAATTCAACAACCGTTCATGCTAAAAATTCTCAATAAATTAGGTATTGATGGGACGTATCTCAAAATAATAAGAGCTATCTATGACAAACCCACAGCCAATATCATTCTGAATGGGCAAAAACTGGAAGCATTCCCTTTGAAAAGTGGCACAAGACAGGGATGCCCTCTCTCACCACTCCTATTCAACATAGTGTTGGAAGTTCTGGCCAGGGCAATTAGGCAGGAGAAGGAAATAAAGGGTATTCAGTTAGGAAAAGAGGAAGCCAAATTGTCCCTGTTTGCAGATGACATGATTGTATATGTAGAAAACCCCATTGTCTCAGCCCAAAATCTCCTTAAGCTGATAGGCAACTTCAGCAAAGTCTCAGGATACAAAATCAATGTACAAAAATCACAAGCATTCTTATACACCAATAACAGACAAACAGCCAAATCCTGAGTGAACTCCCATTCACAATTGCTTCAAAGAGAATAAAATACCTAGGAATGCAGCTTACAAGGGATGTGAAGGACCTCTTCAAGGAGAACTAGAAACTACTGCTTAATGAAATAAAAGAGGATACAAACAAATGGAAGAACATTCCATGCTCATGGGTAGGAAGAATCAATATCGTGAAAATGGCCATACTGCCCAAGGTAATTTATAGATTCAATGCCATCCCCATCAAGCTACCAATGACTTTCTTCACAGAATTGGAAAAAGCTACTTTAAAGCTCACATGGAACCAAAAAAGAGCCCGCATTGCCAAGTCAATCCTAAGCCAAAAGAACAAAGCTGGAGGCATCACACTACCTGACTTCAAACTATACTACAAGGCTACAGTAACCAAAACAGCATGGTACTGGTACCAAAACAGAGATATAGATCAATGGAACAGAACAGAGCCCTCAGAAATAATGCTGCATATCTACAACTATTTGATCTTTGATGAACCTGACAAAAACAAGAAATGGGGAAAGGATTCCCTATTTAATAACTGGTGCTGGGAAAACTGGCTAGCCATATGTAGAAAGCTGAAACTGGATCCCTTCCTTACACCTTATACAAAAATCAATTCAAGATGGATTAAAGGCTTAAACATTAGACCTAAAACCATAAATATCCTAGAAGAAAACCTAGGCAATACCATTCAGGACATAGGCATGGGCAAGGACTTCATGTCTAAAACACAAAAAGCAATGGCAACAAAAGCCAAAATTGACAAATGGGATCTAATTAAACTAAAGAGCTTCTGCACAGCAAAAGAAACTACCGTCAGAGTGAACAGGCAACCTACAGAATGGGAGAAAATTTTTGCAATCTACTCATCTGACAAAGGCTAATATCAAGAATCTACAATGAACTCAAACAAATTTACAGGAAAAAAACAAACAACCCCATCAAAAACTGGGCGAAGGATATGAACAGACACTTCTCAAAAGAAGACATTTATGCAGCCAAAAGACACATGAAAAAATGCTCATCATCACTGGCCATCAGAGAAATGCAAATCAAAACCACCATGAGATACCATCTCACACCAGTTAGAATGGCAATCATTAAAAAGTCAGGAAACAACAGGTGCTGGAGAGGATGTGGAGAAATAGGAACACTTTTACACTGTTGGTGGGACTGTAAACTAGTTCAACCATTGTGGAAATCAGTGTGGTGATTCCTCAGGGATCTAGAACTAGAAATACCATTTGACCCACAAATCCCATTACTGGGTATATACCCAAAGGATTATAAATCATGCTGCTATAAAGACATATGCACACGTATGTTTATTGTGGCACTATTCACAATAGCAAAGACTTGGAACCAACCCAAATGTCCAACAATGATGACTGGATTAAGAAAATGTGGCACATATACACCATGGAATACTATACAGCCATAAAAAGTGATGAGTTCATGTCCTTTGTAGGGAGACGGATGAAACTGGAAACCATCATTCTCAGCAAACTATCGCAAGGACAAAAAACCAAACCCCGCATGTTCTCACTCATAGGTGGGAATTGAACAATGAGAACACATGGACACAGGAAGGGGAACATCACACACCAGGGCCTGTTGTGGGGTGGGGGGAGGGGTGAGGGATAGCATTAGGAGATATACCTAATGCTAAATGGCGAGTTAATGGGTGCAGCACACCAACATGGCACATGTATACATATGTAACAAACCTGCACGTTGTGCACATGTACCCTAAAACTTAAAGTATAATAAAAAAAATAAAAAAAAAGAAAACACTATCTTATCTCCATTGTATTATCTGTCTTCCTATTTCAAAGTATTGTTTGTGGGTCATTTCTGGGCTCTGTATTCTGCTCCATTGTTCTGTCTGTTTCTTCACCAATATCACTCTGTCTTCATTACTGTAGTTTTATAGTAAATTTTGAAGTTGGATAGTGTCAGTCTTCTGACTTTATTATTCTCCTTCAGTATTGTGTTGGCTATTCAGGGTTTTTGCCTCTCCATGTAAACTTTAGAAACAGTTTGTCAATATTCACAAAATAACTTTCTGGGATTTTGTTTGAGATTGTGTTAAATTTCTAGATCAAGTTGGAAGAAAATATTTAGCATTCCTCCATAAACATGAAATGTCTCTCCACTTATTTAATCCTTTGACTTTTTTCACCAGAGTTTTATAGATCTTATACCTATTTTGTAGATTTATACCTGAGTATTTCATTTTTGGGGGTGCTAATGTAAATGGTAATGTGTTTTTGATTTCACATTTTACTTGTTCATTGTATTTATAAAGAGAAGCAATTTACTTTTGTATGTTAACCTCCTTTACAACCTTGCTATCATCACTTAGTTGCAAGAGGTTTTTTTGTTCATTCTTTCAGAATTTCCACACAGACAACCATATCATCTGTGAACAAAGACAGTTATTTCTTCCTTCATGATTTATATACTTTTTATTTCCTTTCTTGATGCATGAGCTAGTACTTCCAGTAAAATGTTGTAAAGGTGTGGTGAGAGGGATCATTGTTGCCTTGGTCCTGATCTTAGCAGAAAACTCCTAGTTTCTCACCATTAAATATGATGGTAGCCACAGGTATTCTGTGATGTTCTTTATCAAGTAGAAGACATTAGCCTCTATGCCTAGTTTGCTGAGACTTTTTATCATGAGAGGGTGTTGGATTTTGTCAAGTGCTTTTCTGCATCTATTGATATGGTCATGTGAGTTTTATTCTTAGGCCTGCTGATGTGATGAATTACATTAATTGATTTTCAAATGTTAAACCAGCCTTGCATATCTGGGAAAATGCCACTTGGTTCTGTTATATAACTTTAATTTTTTTTAATTTTTAATTCTTATGGGCACATAGTAGGTGTATATATTCACGAGGTACATAAGATATTTCGATACAGGCATATACAGTGTGTAATAATCACATCAGGATAAATGGAGTATCCATTAACTCTAGCATTTATTATTTCTTTGTGTTATGAACATTCCAATTATGCTCTTCTAGTTTTATTTATTTATTTATTGAGAGAGGGTCTCACTCTGTCACCCAGGCTGGAATGCTATGGCACCATCATGGCTCACTACAGCTTCAACTTCCTGAGCTCAAGTGAGCCTCCCACCTCAGCCTTCCAAGTAGCTAGGACTACAGGCGCATGCCACCACGCCTAGCTAATTTTTGTGGTTTTTGTAGAGACAGTGTTTCACCATGTTGCCCAGCCTGGTCTTGAATTCCTGGGCTCAAGTGATCTGCCCACCTCAACCTCCCAAAGTGCTGGGATTACAGGCATGCATCACCATGCCTGGCATAGTTACTTTTAAATGTTCTATATATTATTGTTGACTGTAGTCACCTTGTTGTGCTATCAAATGCTGGATCTTACTCATGCTACCTAACTATATTTTTTCACCATTAACCATTCCTACTTCTACCCCCATTGCCCCACTACCTCTCCTAGCCACTGATAATCATTACTTCTCTACTTCTGTGAGTTCAGTTGTTTTAAATTTTATCTCCCACAATATATTGCTAGATTCAATTTGCTAATATTTTGATGAGAATATTCACATGTATATTCATGAGCAATATTGGTCTGTAGTTTTATTTTCTTCTGTGTCTTTATCTAGTTTTTGTATTAGGATAGGTTTTGGTATTAGGATAATTAGGAATGAGTTAGGAAATAATCCCTCTGCTTCTATATTCTGAAAGACATTTTAGAGAATTGGCATAATTTTTTTCTTAAATGCTTGGTAGAATTCACTGGTAAAACCAATGGGGCCTAATGGTTTCTGTTTGGAAGCTTATTACTTATTAATTCAGTTTTGTTAATAGATATAGGCCTATTCAGATTGTCTATTTCTCCTCGTTTGAGTTTGGGTAGATTGTGTCTTTCAAAGAATTGTCTACTTCATCAGTGTTATCAAATTTGTGGACATAGAATTGTTATTGTATTTTTTCATTATCCATTTAATGTCCATGGAATCTGTAATTATGTCCCCTTTTTCATTTCTGATATTAGTTGTGTCTTCTCTCTTTTATTCTTAGCTAGCCTGTCAAGGCACATGAATTTAATTTATCTTTTTTTTTTTTTTTTTGAGGCGGAATCTCACTTTGTCACCCAGGCTGGAGTGCAGTGGTGTGATCTCGTCTCACCACAACCTCCGCCTGCTGGGTTCAAGCAATTCCCCTGCCTCAGCCTCCCAAGTAGCTGGGATTACAGGCACACACTACCACCATGCCCAGCTAATATTTTTGTATTTTTAGTAGAGACAGCTTTCACCATGTTGGCCAGACTGGTCTTGAACTCCTGACCTCAGGCAATCCACTGGTCTCAGCCCCCAAAGTGCTAGGATTACAGGTGTGAGCCACCGCGCTCAGCCTAATTGATGTTTTTAAAGAACAAGCTTTTAGTTTCATTGTTTTTTCTCTATTGCTTGCCTGTTTTCAATTTCATTTATTTCTCTTAAATTTTATATTTTTCTTCTGTTTACTTTGGGTTTAATTTGCTGTACTTTTTCTAGTTTCTAAGATGAATTCTTAAATTTCTGATATTTGATCTTTCTTCTTTTCTACTATATACATTCAGTGCCATAAATTTCCTTCTAAGCACTGCTTTCACTGTATCCCACAAATTTTAATAGGTTGTATTTTATTTTCATTTAATTCAAAGTATATTTATTTTATCTTGAGATTCCTTTTTTTGAGTCATATGTTATGTAGAAGTGTGTTATTTAATCTCCAAGTATTTGGGAATTTTCTAGCTATTTTTTGTTGTTGTTCATTTCCAGCCTATTTCCACTGTAGTCTGAAAACATAGGTCATATGATTTTTATTCTTTTAATTTTGCTACAATATATCTTACAGCCCATAATGTGGTCCATCTGATGAATGTTCTATGTGAGCTTGAGAAGAATGTATATTTTGTTGTTGTTGGATGTAATAGTCTACAAATGTCAATTATATCCAGTTGATTGCTGGTGTTGTTGAGTTTAACTATGTCCTTACAGATTTTCTGCCTGCTGGATCTGTTCATTTCTGAAAAGGGGGTGTTGAAGTCTTCAGCTGGAATAGTGAATATCTCCCTCTCCTTACCGTTCTATCAGCTTTTCCCTCATGTATTTTAATATTCTTATGTTAGGCACATACACATTAAGGATTATTATATTTCCTCGGAGGATTGGCCCTTTATCACTATGCATGTTCCTCTTTATCCCTGATAACTTTTCTTGCTCTGAAATCTGCTGTATCTGAAATTAACTTTTTGTTTGTTTGTTTGTTTTGAGATAGAGTCTTGCTCTGTCACCCAGACTGAAGTGCAATGGTGCGGTCTTGGCCCATTGCAACCTCTACCTCCCGGGTTCAAGCAATTCTCCTGCTTCAGCCTCCCCAGTAGCTGGGATTACAGGCATGCGCCACCACATCTGCCTAATTTTTGTATTTTTATTACAAACGGGGTTTCACCATGTTGGTCAGGCTGGGCTTGAACTCCTGGGCTCCAGCAATCAGCTCTCCTCGGCCTCCCAAAGTGCTGGGATTACAAGCGTGAGCCACCACGCCCAGCCTTGTATCTGAAATTATACAGCTTCTCCACTTTTCATTTGATGAGTGTTTGCATGATACAACTTTTTTCATTCCTTTGGTTTTAATCTGTTTCTGTATTTAATTTAAAGTGGATTTCTTATACACGACGTACACACTTTTCTGATCTGCTCTGACAATCTGTCTTTCAATTAGTGTATTTAGACCACTGAGTTTTAAATTGATTATTTATATACTTGGATTAATATCTACTACATTCACTACTGTTTTCCATTTGTTCCTTTTGTTCTTTCTTCCTGTAGTTTGGGGCATTTTATATGATTCTGTTTTCTCTTGTTTTTAGCTTGTCAGTTACACTTTTCGTACTCTTTTCAATGTTTGTTGTGTAGCTTGCAATGTGTATTTACAATTAATCCAAGTCTTCTTTCAAATAACACTATACCACTTGATGGGGAGTACAAATACCTTATACTAACAAAATATTTCTAATTCTTCTCTGCTATCCTTTGCACTATTGCTGTCATTTATTTCTCTCATATACAAACGTATATATCATATATATATTATCTGTTAAATCAATTAAGAATAAGAAAAATTAAAGTTTTTATTTTACTTTTACTTATTCATCCTCTGATGTTCTTCCTTTCTTTATCTAGACCTGAGTTTTCAACCTATATCATTTTCTTTATCTCTAAAGTTCTTTAAACATTTCTTTTAAAGAAGGTTTACCGACCACAAAGTTCCTCAATTTTTTTTTTTTTGTCTGAGAAAGTCTTTATTTCTTCTTAACTTTTGAAGGATAATTTTAGAGGGTACAGAATTCTAGGTTGGCGGGGCTTTTCTCAATACTTTAAATATTTCACTTTACTTTCCTCTTGCTTGCATGAAGAGAAGGGTATACTTTTTATCTTAACTTCTCTACAGGTAATTTTTTTTCTCCTGCTTCTTTGGAGATATTTTTATCTTTTATTTTCTGCAGCTTGAATATAATATGCCTACAGGTAGTTTTTTTTTTCTGGCATTTATCTTAGTTGGTGTCCTGGATGTGTGGTTTGGTGTGTGACATTAATTTGGGGAAATTCTCAGTTGTTATTACTTTAAATATTTCTTATGTTTCTCTCTTTCTTCTCCTGGTATTATCATTATGAGTATGTATACCTTTTATTACTGTCTTATAGTTCTTGAATATTGTTTCTTTTTTTCCAGTCTTTTTTTTTTCTTTGCTCTTCAGTTTGGGGAGTTTCTATTGACTTATCCTCAAGCTCAGCAATTCTTTAGTCAGCTGTGTCCAGTCTAACAATGATTCCATCAAAGACATTCTTCAGTTTTGTTACAATATTTTTATCTCCAGCATTTTTAAAATTCTTTTTAAGAATGTCCATCTTTCTGCTTATATTATCAATCTGTTCTTGTATATTGCCTATTTTTTCCATTAGAGCAATTATCATATTAAACATAGTTGTTTTCAATTCCTGGTCTGATAATTTCAACATTCCAGCCACGTGACTCTCTGGTTCTGATACTTTCTATTTCTCCAAATTGTCTTTTTTGCCTTTCAGTAGGTCTTGTAATTTTTTCTTGATAGCTATACATAGGCCTCTAGTGATGTGGTAGTAAGGTGTGGAGGGAGGGGAAGCATTCTAAAGTCTTACAATTAGGTGACACTCTCTGAGAGTGTGTGCTCCTAGATGATGAACTTCAAAAGTGTTCCTCAATGTTTTCTCCTTTTTAGATGAGACAGGATGGCTGGGGCTGGGGGTGGCCATCCTGTCTTACGGGAGTTGGGTATTTAACTTCTCCTACATGGAAAGCTAAAAGGTGCTGGAGTTGAGTATTTTCCTTCCCCCATGTAGAAGACTAGAGTAGGCTGGAGTTGAGTATCCCCTTTCCCCAGGATCTATTGGGCTCTGATAAAACCCTAATATGTTGGGCTCTAGTAAAAATAGTTTCTCTTGAAGACAAGCCTTATGAAGAACAGAATACTCTGGCATATTTCAAAATAGCTACTTCTCCCCTCCCCTGCTGGAAATCCAGGGGAATTTTTCTCTGATTTTAGATGTGAGGACCTGGTAGA
Source organism: Homo sapiens (assembly GCF_000001405.40). Lineage (NCBI taxonomy): Eukaryota > Metazoa > Chordata > Mammalia > Primates > Hominidae > Homo > Homo sapiens. The sequence goes on along the minus strand of NC_000004.12, from coordinate 111,088,789 downwards.
GGTCCTGGAGCCGAACTCACAAAAGAAGGGTGCACTACCTGCCCCACACCATCATCACTGAGTTTTCTTGGAGTTTTTAACTCTCAGAATTGCCCACACTGAACCTCTATCAATTTGTCAATTACAGCTCAGGTTTTCCTACCCTGACACTGGTTTCCTCAGAGGTTTCTCCTTCTGGGCTTTTGTTCTGCTTAAGTTGTAATTCCCTGTGTCTAGCTTGTCTGTCTCGCCAGTTTGGGGCACAGTGGTTTGCCCTATCACCTCATTTTTCTTGTGGATCTAAGAAGAGTTGTTGATTATTCAGTTTGTTCAGCGTTTCACTTGGAGATAGAACGGAATGATGACCTCCAAGCTCCTTATACGACAGACAGAATTTTTTTATTATTTCAATAGGTTTTTGGAGAATAGGTGGTGTTTGGTTACATGAATAAGTTCCTTAGTGGTGATTTCTGAGATTCTGGTCCACCCATCATCCAAGCAGTGTACACTGTACCCACTATGTAATCTTTTATCCTTCAACCCCTCTCACCCTTTCTCCCAAGTCCCCAAAGTCCATTATATCATTCTTATGCCTTTGTATCCTCATTGCTTAGCTCCCACTTGTGCGTAAGAACATACGATGTGAAACTGGAAATCTTTGCATTTATTTTTATCAATTAAAAACAACTCATATTTTATATTAGATAAAACTCTGTATGTGGTTCCTTAGCTACTCTATGTACTTTGAGTAAGCTAGCATATTCTGACTCTAGCCAGAGCTTTATGCAAGTGATAAAATACTCAGTAGATATTTTTCAGAAATATGTAGCTCAGCTGAAGGGGAACACCATTTCTAACTGGAATAATAAAATAATAATCACAGTATTTTTTACAAGTTTGAGAAAAGAGTATATAAAGAACCAAACTTTAGGAAATTCATAAAAGTTCAAAACTGATTTGATCATAACTCCTTTAAGTAATTGTGCCCCCAACATATGAATAGAAGAAAGACATTCATGAGATAGTATAAAATTAGGAATGTTGGGTGTTATAAATAAGAACCAATAAGGCTAAGGAAATTTAGATTTTTAATGTATACTATATTTTTATTTTAAATGGCTTATATTTACTGTTTGAGGGAAATTTGAATATAAATTCATTTCAATACAAGTTTTTATTATTATTATGAAATAAACAGTCATGTGCTGCATAGTGATATTTAGGTCAATGCTGTACTGCAGATATGACAGTGGTTCCATAAGATTATAATAGAGCTAAAAAATTTCTATCATCCAGTGACAATGTAGCTGTTTTAATGTCATAGCACAATTTTTTTAAAATTTAGTGTAGCTTAAGTATACAGGGTTTATAAAGTCTACAGTAGTGTACAGTAATGTCCTAGGCCTTCACATTTACTCACTGACACCCAGAGCAGCTTGTAGTCCTGGTCAACTTCATTTATGGTACGTGTGCTACACAGATGTACCATATATTTATCTATCTTTTATATTGTATGTTTCCTGTACCTTTCATATGCTTAGACATGTTTAGGTATACAATATTTAACATTGTGTTACTATTACCTATAGTATTCAGTATAGTAACATGCTGCACAGGTTTATAGCCTAGGAACAATAGGCCATGCCACATAGCCTAGGTGCATAGTAGGCTATACCATTTAGGTTTATCAAAGTACTCTCTATGATTTTGCACAATGGTGAAATCATTTAAGGACACTTTTTTCAAAACATCACACCATCATTAAGTGATACATGACTATATCGGAACATTTTAGTAGCTTAACTTTGAATAGAAACCATTCCTTGCATTAATGGGAAAATTTTGGCATCCAAGTTTGTTTCCAGCTGAAGGTCAGCAATGTGTGTTTCTAGGTAGCTGCTTTGCTTGGCACTTAAATTGTATTTCCATGATTTCACAAGCAGCTACCATGCTACAGCTAATTTTTAGCTTTGTGATCTTTGAGCTAATTCTACGTTAGAACAAAAGGAACAGGCTTAGTGAATTGAGGCTTTATTCTGAATCTATAAAGAATCTTAAAAACATTGTGAAACTTTTTGATGCTTTTGATAAACAGAAGAAACAATAGTGTTTATAGTAATTTTGCAAGAAGAAATCATCTAAAAATTTGTAGACAAAAAGACAATAGATATACTTAACAGAATGCCTCACTGTTAGCTTAAAATAAATACATTTAAACTGAAGTCATCATCATCTCCACAATATAGCCAGCATTCTTTTGACAATTAATTGCCACACAGTTCTAGTCACCATCAACTGAGGAAAGTAATTCATTCTTCTTTCTAGTTGTATTCCATTCTCAATAACTAAAATTTATAAGATTTCACACAATGGCCTAGCATTTTTGTTTCTGTTCAAATTGCTTCCTCTCTCTTCTTTTCTCTACTGCAGTTGTACCCAAGCAGATCTGATAGCTCCTACAACATGCTTCACTCCAGCAGTTCTCAACCTTTATTGTCCTTTGGAATCAATCACCTGGGAAGCTTTAGAAATACTGTACAGATTCCTGATCCCACCCATAGAGAGTCTTACTTGATAACTCTAGAGTGTGGCCTTGACACCAGATTTTTAAAGCTCCTCAGATGATCCTAATGAGTCCAGAGCTATGCCTTTAATCTATTTTATCTCCACATGATTCTCAACCAGATTTCTTTGCTTGAAAGACCCTCGCTTCTCATTTCTGCCTTTTTACATTTTGACCATTCTTTAAGACTTCGTTTAAATTCTATTCACAACTTAGTTGGCACTCAGTTTAGCATCCAGCATTGAAGTTATCTCATTAACATGAAAGGGCCATATATTCCTGGCCAGATTGTGTATTGTTTTTACTTCTTTTACTTTTATAATTGACAAATAATAATTGTATATACTTATGGGATACAATGTGATGTTATCCTACTTGTACGTATTGCAGAATAATTAAGTCAGGCTAACTGACCTATCCTTCACCCCACATACTTTTTCTATTTTTGTGGTGAGACCATTCAAAATCTACACTTTTAGCATATTATATATTCTTAAAGAAAAAGGACCAAAATTTAAGCTTTTCATACTCCTCACAATGTCTAATATATAATGATGATGATGATATATAATGATGATGATGATATGTCTAATAAAACAGACAAAAATATGAATATACATAATTCAGATACTATATATATAGAGAGAGAGAGAGTTGATCCTTACTGCAGAGGTTAGACCACTGACTTTCAAAGCAGTTGAAAATCCACTTAGGACTCTTTACTCCCCAAAACTTAATTACTTATAGCCTACTGTTGGCAGAAAGCCTTATCAATAACATAAACATTTAATTAACACATATTTTGTATGTTATATGTATTATAAACTGTATTCTTACAATAAAACAAGCAAGAGAAAAGAATGTTATTAACAAAATCATAAGAAGAAGGAAATATATTGACCATTAAATGGAAGTAGATCATCATAAAGGTCTTTATTCTCATGATCTTCACATTGAGTAGGCTGAGTAGGAAAAGAAAGAGGAAGGGTTGGCCTTGCTGTCTTAGGGGTGACAGAGGCAAAAGAAAATTCATGTATTAGTGGACCTGAGCAGTTCAAACATGTTGTTCCAGGACCAACTATACACACACACACACACACACACACACACACACACACACACACATTAAAAAGGAAAAATATAGTGTTTTTCAAAATTACAGTAGTATTTCTTAACCTTTCCTGTCAAACAAAAACATAAATATAGAATATTTTATAAAGATTGATTTTTAAATTATGTATTTTGCATAAAATTGCTGATGCATGTTGTAAAGCATTGTATGACTAGCACAAACATCTAAATATTTACTATTAAATATCTTGATCATCTTAATTTTTGTTAGAAATATTTTGTGTTGATTTTAAAATTTTTTAATAAACTTAATTTTATTAGGTTCATGGAAGAATTGAACAGGAGGTACAGAGTTTTAAAAATAACTGTAAAATAAAGTCAGTTAGATAAATATAAGCAGTTAATGCTTTGATTACATTCTTATCCCTGAATTAAATGGTGCATTTGGCAAAAGTGAGGGTTTTTTTAAATAAAAGTAAATAAAAATGTTTCTTTTAAGATATAAGAATACAAAATTTCAGAACCACTAATAAAAGAAGTACATAAACAAATAACTACAAATATAAAACTATGAATTGCATTTTATGATGATGTAACTTACTGTGAGAACTAAATGAATAATTTGTTTCTAACTGCTAAATCATATATACATATATATTTACATTTGCATGAGCTCAACAAGTACACAAGATTTTTATTCTTCTCATTCTGCATATGAGACTCATATGCATCACAAAAAAATAAACAAATGAAAGCTCGATATATATTTTTTTCAAAAAAGTGGAAAACTTACAAGCTCCGTAATTTTTTGCAGGAATATGTCAAATTTCACCTAACTAGAAAAAAAATCCATACTTACTACAAATAGCATCCATTCTATTTACCCCATGGATAAGGATATATTGCCAAAATATTAAAAACACAGATTTCCTAATTTTTAACCTGCACTGACCCAAAGTCTTAAATTACATATTAACCACAAACAAGGAAAATGTTAAATAATTTACATACACATTTAGATGCTCTCTAACCTTTTTAATAGAATTAAATATTGGTTTACACTTCAACATTCATTTAATAACAGTTATTGAGCTAAAATGTTCAACAAAGCAATCTCAGCAATTTGGAAGGCCGAGGTGGGCGGATCACCTGAGGTCGAGAGTTGGAGACCAGTCTGACCAACATGGAGAAACCCTGTCTCTACTAAAAATACAAAAAATTAGCCAGGTGTGATGGCACATGCCTGTAATCCCAGCTACTTGGGAGGCTGAGGCAGGAGAATCACTTGAACTCAGGAGGCAGAGGTTGTGGTGAGCCATGATAAAAAAAAAAAAAATTATCACACATAATCCCAGGCTTTAAGAGTAAAATATCTAGAAGGAGAAATAATATAAAATATGTATCCAAATATCTATAGTGTAGAAAATGGTGAAAAGTGCCACGAGAAAGATATGCTTCAATTATAGTTTTCAAAATGCAGAGATTGTTTTCAATCTATTTTATGAGGAAACAGTATCAAGAAATCTGGGCCCCAGTAACTGATGCAATAAAAACCTAATATGTTTAATATGTGCAGTGGTTAATTTTATGTGTCAGTTTGATGGGGTTAAGGGATACCCGAATAGTTGATAGAACATTATTTTATGTATGTCTGTGAGGATGTTTCCAAAAGAGATCAGCATTTGAATTGTTAGGGTAAGAAGATCCCTTCTCACCAATGTAAGCAGGTATCATCCAAACAGAGTAAAAAGGAAGAGAAAGAGCAAATTAACTCTCTCTTGTCCTAGAGCTCTCACCTTCTGCTGTACTGGGACATAAGAGTCCCTGGATCTTGGGCCTTCAGGTTCCAGGGCTTATACCAGCACATGCAGTACATTTCTCCCTCCCTCTCTACGCTTCTCCATTCTTGGGCCTTTGGCCTTAGAACAAATTACACCTCTGCTTTTTCTCATTCTTTAGTTTGGAGAACATATCATGGGAATTCTTGGCCTACGTAATTGCATGAGGCAATTTCCATAATAAATCCTGTATTATATATTTATATATACATATCCTGTTGGTTCTGTCTCTCTGGAGAACTCTGACTAATACAATTTGAAAAGTAATAACTTCTTCTTTGCTTATCGTCCCCACACATAAATTTAATATTGTCCTAAATATGCTCCTATCTGTGATATAGAGATGCAACCATTAATGGTTTGTCAGTTGTATTAATGTGGCGATGCTAGCTGCTGAAACAAATAAAACCACAAATCACAATGGCTTAACCAAATGGAAGTGTATTTCCATTAACCAAATGGAAATGCATGTGATGTCCAAAATGAATATTCCTGATCAGTGGAAGTATATTCTCTATATGGCAATTTAGATATTCAACTATCTTCTAATAGTGTCTCGGTCGTTTTTAATACTTATGTCCGAAGGTCATGCTGAGAGTTACTTCCATTTCAAATACCTAGAAGGGATGAGAAAGACCAGTGGGTCTTAGCCGGGTCTGCTAGGTTCATCATTTGTGCTTTAGCTAGAACTGAGTCACACAGGGACATCAAACTGTAAGAGTGACTGGACAATGAACAGCAAGCCATCTCTGCCACTGTTTTCATTAACATTTATGAGTCCAACAAAAGCATGGCTCATTAAGGATTCAAATTTTTCTTGGCACCACATGCTGGTTTTATGGAATGGAGCTTTTGATTATCGAAATGTCTATTCCTTTTCTCACATCCCAAACTGTTCTAGGAAAGAGCGTTATCTATAGAAGCATTGCTGCTGTTGGCACTCTATGAATATATTCACAATTTCCTGAAATCTAGATTTGAGTATTGATTAGAGATGTTATATTTTCTCCCATTCTTCAATGTCACCAGCATCTTCACCAACCAGTCACTCATTAATGGGTACCTATGTGCTGGCTTAGCTATTTTGGGATAGAAGGGTCAAGGATTTCTTACAGCTCTTTATGAGCCTCATCAATTAGCTATCATCTGGACCTAGTTAAGTTGTATTCAAATCTAATTCTGCTGGTCTTTAAAATCCAAATACATTTTTACTTCTTCCCCTAAAGAGTTACTCTGCTGGGTGCTAAACAAAGTGAATTGGCAATGGCATCCACCTCTGGGAACTTAACTTTCAAATTTTTAATATAATGCTTCCACTCAGTACTTGAAATACTGAGTTCCACTTCAAGTACTTGGTGAAAAAAAAAAAGGTATCGAAAAATGTCTGCCTATTTTGGCCAAGATACAAATAGTTTTGGAAGGTTTTTCCTGTATGAAGGAATGTTTTCCAGTTAGTTTTTACTTATTATTTAAATCATTAGCAATTTCACATGCAAATGTTAATGAGTACCTCTTTGCAACTGGATCATTTTTCACTGTGCGTGTGAAGTATTAGAATTTGAAAGTATTTCATTAGTTAGGCTTAAATTATTTCTACATATTTGGTGGTAGGATAGCTTTGAGAGCATGTGTCTCTTAATCCAATCAGCTGTGGCCCTCATAAATGGTGAGAAGATCAAAGTGACTCAAATGTCTATCTCTTTGTAGAACATAATAACCACAGCTGATCTATTGGATCAAAAGAATATTTTCACCTCAGTTCTGCATTTCCTCATATAGAAATAGCTTCAGTTATGTTTAGAAGCTTAGCCTCATTATTATTAGCCTAAATTTTTAAAAATTAAAGTTAGAATCCAGAAGTTTAATGTACTAAAAATATACAAGAAATAAATCACATTATATAGCAAGGACAGTGTTTCCAAATTTTATGATAATGATACAGCTTGCACCCATTGAAGATATGGTAACATTCACATGTTAATGTTTATCTTGGAATTTTAAATTTCACTTATTAACATTTATTGGGTGTTATCTGCAAACTCACATATCTAATAACGTTTTCAGAATCACCAAGTTAAAATGAGTTTATATAAATTGGTTTTGAGCCACATTCAGGTGATAGCTGAAAGATATCAATCTGTCTTAATGACAAAACTCATAGATTATAATTGTGTTAAACAGTGACCAACAAAATAGTTTCAAATAGGGATCCATGTAGTTATCCTGACTCTCAGCCACAGAAGTTATAAGTACATTCAAAACTTAAAGGCACAGCACTGTTACCACTTAACTTCCAGTTTGTTAATTGCATATAAGATACCAACTCCTTCACCATTCTCATTTTCTCCAGCTTCATCTAATAATCTCACATACGTATCAGAGTCTAACCTGATTTTTGTAGCTTGACAACTTAATGTAAGATGAAACCTCTTAAGTTTCACTATTCACAGTCTATACTAAATTGTATGTTTAAATAGCTTCATTTAGTTATCGTTGCACATATTTAAATTATGTAATTTGATAAGTTGACATATATTTAATAAATCATAACTTACTATCAAAATAATTAATATACCCATTACCCCCAAATATTTCCTCAGCCCCTTTGTAATTCCTCCACACCTACTTGCCCTCTTCTTTTTTTTCTTCTTTATTTCTTCTAAAAAAAAACAACAACAACAAAAAGCGGGATATGTGTGCAGAACATGCAGGGTTGTTACATAGGTATACGTGTGCCGTGGTGGTTTGCTACACCTATTGACCCGTCCTCTAAGTTTCCTCCTCTTGCCCCCTACCCCCCAATAGGCCCTGGTGTGTGTTATTCACCCCTCTGTCCATGTGTTCTCAACGTTCAACTCCCACTTATGAGTGAGAACATGCAGGGTTTGGTTCTCCGTTCCTGGGTTAGTTTGCTGAGGATGGTGGCCTCCAGCTTCATCCATGTCCTGCAAAGGACGTGATCTCATTCCTTTTTATGGCTGTGTAGTATTCCATGGTGTATACATACCACATTTTCTTTACCCAGTCTATCATTGATGGGCATTTGGGTTGGTTCCATGTCTTTGCTATTGTAAATAGTGCTGCAATAAACATATGTGTGCATATGTCTTCATAATAGAATGATTTATCATCCTCTGGGTATATACCCAGTAATGGGATTGCTGTGTCAAATTGTATTTCTGGTTCTAGATCCTTGAGGAATCGCCACACTGTCTCCCACAATGGTTGAACTAATTTACATTCCCACCTACAGTTGTAAAAGCGTCCCTATTTCTCCACAGCCGCGTCAGCATCTATTGTTTCCTGACTTTTTAATAACTGCCTTTCTCACTAGTGTGAGATGATATCTCATTGTTGTTTTGATTTGCATTTCTCTGATGACCAATGATGTTGAGCTTTTTTTCATATTTGTTGGCTGCATAAATGTCTTTTTTTGAGAAGTGTCTGTTCATATCCTTTCCCCACTTTTTGATGGGTTTTTTTTTTCTTGTAAATATGTTTAAGTTCCTTGTAAATTCTGGATATTAGACCTTTGTCAGATGGGTAGATTGCAAGTATTTTCTCCCATTCTATAGGTTGCCTGTTCACTCTGATGACAGTTTCTTTTGCTGTGCAGAAGCTCTTTAGTTTAATTAGATGCCATTGTCAATTTTGGCTTTTGTTGCAATTGCTTTTGGTGTTTTTGTCATGCAGTCTTTGCCCATGTCTATGTCCTGAGTGGTATTGCTTAGGTTTTTTTCTAGGGTGTTTAAGGTTTGGGGTTTTACTTTTAAGTATTTAATCCATCTTGAGTTAATTTTTGTATAAGGTGTAAGGAAGGGGTCCCGTTTCGGTTTTCTGCCTATGGCTAGCCAGTTCTCCCAACACAGTTTCCTGAATAGAAGATGCTTTCCCTATTGCTTGTTTTGTCAGGTTCATCGAAGATCAGATGGTTGTAGATGTGTGGAGTTATATCTGAGATCTCTGTTCTGCTCCATTAGGGTCTGTATGTCTGTTTTGGTACCAGTACCATGCTGTTTTGGTTACTATACCCTTGTAGCAAAGCTTAAAATCAGGTAGCATGATGCCTCCAGCTTTGCTATTTTTGCTTATGATTGTCTTGGCTATACGGGGTCTTCCTTGATTCCATATGAAATTTAAAATAGTTTTTTTCTAATTCTGTGAAGAATGTCAATGGATGTTTGATGGGAATAGCATTGAATCTAGAAATTACTTTGGGCAGTATGGCCATTTTCATGATATCAATTCTTCCTATCCATGAGCATGGAATGTTTTTCCATTTGTTTGTGTCCTCTCTTATTTCCTTGAGCAGTGGTTTGTAGTTCTCCTTGAAGAGGTTCTTTACATCCCTTGTTAGCTGTATTCCTAGGTATTTTATTCTCTTTGTGGCAATTGTGAATGGGAGTTTATTCATGATTTGGCTCTCTGATGCCTATTGTTAGTGTAAAGGAATGCTTAGGATTTTTGCACATTGATTTTGTATCCTGAGACTTTTCTGAAGTCGCTTATCAGTTCTAGAGGTTTTTGGGCTGAGATGATGGGGTTTTCTAAATATAAAATCATGTCATCTGCAGAGACAACTTGACTTCTTCTCTTCCTATTTGAATACCCTTTACTTCTTTCTCTTGTCTGATTGACCTGGCCAGAACTTCCAACACTATGTTGAATACAAATGGTGAGAGAGGGCATCCTTGTCTTGTACCAATTTTCACAGGGAATGCTTCCACCTTTTGCCCATTCAATATGATATTGGCTGTGGGTTGGTCATAAATAGCTCTTATTATTTTGAGATATATTCCACCAATACCTAGTTTATTGAGTTTTTAACAAAGGGATGTTGAATGTTATCAAAGGCCTTTTCTGCATCTATTGAGATAATCATATGGTTTTTGTCTTTGGTTCTGTTTATGTGATGGATTACATTTATTGATTTGCATATGTTGAACCAGCCTTGCATCCCAGGGATAAAGTTGACTTGATCCTAGTGGGTAAGTTTTTTGATGTGCTGCTGGATTCGGTTTGCCAGTATTTTATTGAGGATTTTCACATCGATGTTCATCAGGGATATTGGCCTGAAGTTTTCTTTTTCTTTGGTGCCTCTTCCTGATTTGGGTATCAGGATGATGCTGGATTCATAAAATTAGTTAGGGAGGAGCCCCTCCTTTTCAATTGTTTGGAATCATTTCAGAAGGAATGGTATCAGCTTCACTTTGTATTTCTGGTAGAATTCAGCTGTGAATCCATCCAGTCCTGGACTTTTTTTTGGTTGGCAGGCTATTAATTACTGTCTCAATTTCAGAGCTTGTTATTGGTCTATTCAGGGATTCAACTTCTTCCTAGTTTAGTCTTGGTAGGGTGTATGCATCCAGGAATTTATCCGTTTCTTCTAGATTTTCTAGTTTATTTGCATAAAGGTGTTTATATAGTATTCTTTGATGGTGGTTTGTATTTCTGTTGGGTAAGTGGTAATATCCCCTTTATCATTTTTGTTGTGTCTTTTTGATTCTTTTCTCTCTTCTTCTTTATTAGTCTAGCTAGTGGTCTATCCATTTTGTTAATTTTTTCAAAAAACCAGCTCCTGGATTTGTTGATTTTTTGGAGGGTTTTTCATGTCTCTATCTCCTTCAGTTCTTCTCTGATCTTAGTTATTTCTTGTCTTCTGCTAGCTTTTGGATTAGTTTGCTCTTGCCTCTCTAGCTGTTTTAATTGTCATGTTAGGGTGTCAGTTTAAGATCTTTCTAACTTTCTGATGTGGGCATTTAGTGCTATAAATTTCCCTCTTAACACTGCTTTAGCTGTATCCTGGAGATTCTGGTACACTGTCTCTTTGTTCTTGTTGGTTTCAAAGAACTTCTTGATTTCTGCCTTAAGTTCATTATTTATCCAAGATTCATTCAGGAGCAGGTTGCTCAATTTCCATGTGATTGGTTTTGAGTGGGTTTCTTAATCCTGAGTTCTAATTTGATTGCATTGTGGTATGATTGTTTGTTATGATTTCAGTTCTTTTGCATTTGCTGAGGAGAATTTTACTCCCAATTATGTGGTTAATTTTAGAATAAGTGCGATGTGGCACTGAGAAGAATGTATATTCTATTGATTTGGGGTAGAGAACTCTGTAGATGTCTACTAGTTCCACTTGATCCAGAGCTGAGTTCAAGTCCTGAATATCTTTGTTAATCCTGTCTCATTGATCTAACACTGACAGTGGGGTGTTTAAGTCTCCCACTATCATTGTGTAGGAGCCTAAGTCTCTTTGTAGGTCTCTAAGAACTTGTTTTATGAATCTGGGTGCTCCTCTATTGGGTGCATATATTTAGAATAGTTAGGTCTTCTTGTTGAATTGTTCCCTTTACCATTATGTAATGCCCTTCTTTGTCTTTTTTTGATCTTTGTTGGTTTAAAGTCTTTTTTCAGGGACTAGGATTGCAACCCCTGGTTTTTCATTTGTTTGTTTGGTTGGTTGGTTTTCTTTTGCTTTCCACTTTCTTGGTAAATTTTCCTCCATCCTTTTATTTTGAGCCTGTGTGTGTCTTTGCATGTAAGATGGGTCTCCTGAATACAGCACACTGATGAATGTTGACTCCTTATCCAATTCGCTAGTCTGTGTCTTTTAATTAGGGCATTTAGCCCATTTACATTTAAGGTTAGTATTGTTATATGTGAGTTTGATCCTGCCATCATGATGCTATTTGGTTATTTTGCACACTAGTTGATGCAATTTCTTCATAGTGTCATTGGTCTTTATATTTTGGTGTGTTTTTGCAGTGGTTGGTATCAGTTTTTCCTTTCCATATTTAGTGCTTCATTCAGGAGCTCTTGCAACGTAGGCCTGGTGGTAATGCAATGACTCAGCATTTGCTTCTCTGGGAATAATTTTATTTCTCCTTCACTTATGAAGCTTTGTTTGGCTGGATATGAAATTCTAGGTTGAAAATTTTTTAATTTAAGAATGTTGAATATTGGCCCCCAATCTCTTCCAGCTTATAGGGTTTCTGCTGTTAGTCTGATGGGCTTCCCTTTCTAGGTGATCTGGCCTTTCTCTCTGGCTGCCCTTAACAGTTATTCTTTCATTTCGACCTTGGAGAATCTGATGATTACATGTCTTGGGGTTGATCTTCTCGCGGAGTATCTTAATGGTGTTCTCTGTGTTTCCTGAATTTGCATTTTGGCCTGCTAAGTTAGGGAAGTTCGCCTGGATAATATCCTGAAGAGTGTTTTCCATCTTTTTCATTCTCCCCATCTCCTTCCGGTACTCCAATTAATCATAAGTTCAGTCTTTTTATAAAGTCCCATATTTCTTGGAGGCTTTGTTCATTCCTTTTCATTCTTTGTTCTCCATTCTTGTTTGCATGTCTTATTTCAGTAAGGTGGCCTTCAAACTCTTATATCCTTTCTTCCACTTGGTCAACTTGGCTGCTGATGCTTGTGTATGCTTCATGAAGTACCCGCGCTGTTTTTTAGCTCCATCAGGTCTTTTATGTTCCTCTCTAAATTGGTTATTCTCATTAACAATTCCTCTAACATTTTATCAAGGTTCTTAGCTTCTTTGCATTGGGTTAGAACACGTTCCTTTAGCTCAGCATAGTTTTTTATTACCCATTATCTGATGCCTACTTCTGTCAATTCATCCATCTGATCCTCTGTCCAGTTCTGCACCCTTGATGGAGAGACGTTGAGATCATTTGGAGGAGTAGAGATACTCTGGCCTTTTGGGTTTTCAGCATGTTTTCATTGATTCATTCTCACGTTCATGAGTTTGTCTAGTTTCAGTCTTTGAGGCTGCTGACCCTAGGATGGGGGTTTTGTGGGGGCCTTTTTTATTGTTGTTATTGATGCTGTTGTTGTCACTTTCTGCTTGTTTGTTTTTCTTTCAATAGTCAGGTCCCTCTTCTGTAGGGCTGCTGCAGTTTGCTGGGGGTTCACATCAGGCCCTATTCACCTGATTCACCCCGTGCCTGGAGCTGTCACTCAAGGAAGCTGGAGAACAGGAAAGATGAGTGCCTGCTCTTTCTTCTGGGACCTCTGACCTCAAGGGGCACCAACCTGATGCCAGTAGGATTGCTCCTGTATAGGGTGTCTGACAACCCCTGTTCGAGGGTCTCACCCAGCTGGGTGGCATGAGGAGCAGGACCATTTAATGAAGCACTTTGTCCCTTGGTGGATGGGTTGTGCTTCGCTGAGGGGAAACCCCTTTGTCCTGGCTGCCTGGATTCCTCAGAACTACCAGGAGGAGAGGCTAAGTCTGCTGGTTCACAGAGACTGGGGCCACCCCTCCCCGTAGGGGCTCAGGCCCAGGGAGATTGGAATTCTGTCCCTGAGCCTCTGGCTGGAGTTATTGAAGATCCTGCAGGGAAGCCCCGCCCACTGAGGAAGGATGGGCCAGGGTTAGACCTGAAGAGGCACCTTGGCGGCCAACTGCCACAGCCAGTGTGTTGTGCTGTGGGGACAAATCTTGGGACCAAGGCATCCAGACTCCCTGGCTCCAGCAGGGGAAAGGCGCAGCCTGGAGCTATAGAAATGGGTGTTGCCCTTTCCCCTGCCCAGGGAGCTTAGCCTGTTAGGCAGTTGTGAGTCCCAGTGAAGGCTGCTGCCCCTCCCGCAAGGAGCTCAAATGGCTTAGACAGCAGGCCCCAGCAGCCAGTGCTGGTCGCCCCTCCCTCCCGGGAGCTCAGTAAGCTAAAGCAGATTCCAGCTGAGAGGCTATAAGAATCTGCGCATTCTGGGGTTGAGACGCTAGGTCCCAGTGGCGTGGGTTCACGAGTGGGATCTTCCAATCCGTGGGTTGCACAGTTCCATGGAAAAAGCACAGTTTCCCTGGCTAGGTAACTTGCTCACTCACTGCCTCCTTTGGCTGGTGGGAGGGGGATCCCTTTCCCTGTGTGGCTCTCAAATGGGCCACCAGGTCACACTGTTCTTCCTTCTCTCTGTGGGTCACACCAGCCTTCTAGTCAATTTTGATGAGAGAACCTGGATACCTTGGTTCCAGTGAAGGATTCACATGCTTATTATGTATTTTGTTGTTGGTGGTATTGTCGTTGTTGTTTTTTCTGATGGGAGCCTCCGAAAGCTGCTGCTTCTAGTTGGCCATCTTGGCCCCTCCCCAAAAGCTCTCCTCCTTGCCCTCTTCTAAGGCAACTACTAATCTGTTGTCTGTCAGTGTTACAGTGAATTGTCCTATTACATTGAATTATCTCTTTAAACTATGAAAAAGTATCCTTCTAAAAACCTTGATCACTTCTTATTTCAAGATTCAATAAAACCTAAGATGTGTTGTTCCTAAGTAACATTCCAGATCTCATTAAAATAAAATCTTAAAGTACAGCCAAATAAACACAAAATGCTAAAAGCAAAAACTTAAACAGAAATTTTCTTTTTGACAAGCAGCTGTGCCTCTTACAAAGTTATCTAAAGCCTTTGGCAGGAATCTAGGGCTGGGATGATCTATAGAGCTCTTTCAGCATCTCTATTCCTTCATTAGTTCTCACTTTCCAAATTAACGAGTGTCAATATTACATTTATTTATTTAAATTGTTATTCAGGTTCAGGGGTACATGTGCAGGTTTGTTACACAGATAAATTGCATGTCATGTGGGTTTGGTATACATACTATTTCATCATCAAGGTAATAAGCATCGTACCCAATAGGTAGTTTTTTTATCCTCACCCTCCTCCCACCCACCATTCTCAAGTAAGCCCTGGTATCTATTGTGCCCTTCTTTGTGTCCATGTGTACTCAATGATTAGCTCCCACTTATAAGTGAGAATATGTGGTGTTTGATTTTCCATTCCTGCATTAATTCACTTAGGATAACAGCCTCCAGCTCCATCTGTGTCCCTGCAAAGGACATGATCTCGTTCCTCTTTATGGCTGCATAGTATTCCATGGTATATACATATAACACATTTTCTTTATCCAGTCTACCACTGATGGGCATTTAGATTGATTCCATGTCTTTGCTATTGCAGGTAGTGCTGCAATGAATGTATGCATGCATGTGTCTTTATAGTAGAATAATTTATATTCCTCTAGCTATATACCCAATAATGGGATTGCTGGGTCAAATGGTAGTTCTGTTTTATGTTCTTTGAGAAATTGCCAAACAGCTTTTTCATAGTGGCTCAACTAATTTACCTTCCCAGTAGCAGTGTATAGGTGTTTCCTTTTCTCTGCAACCTTGCCAGCTTGTTATTTCTTGACTTTTTAGTAATAGCCATTCTGACTGGTATGAGATGCTATCTCATTGTGGTTTTGATTTGCATTTCTCTAACGATTAGTGATGTTGAGCATTTTTTCTTATGCTTATTGGCCATTTATAGGTCTTATTTTGAAAACTGTTCATGTCCTTTGCCTGTTTTTTAATAGGATTGTTTCATTTTTGCTTGTTAATTTGTTCAAGTACCTTATAGACTCTGGATGTTAGACCTTTCTCGGATACATAGTTTGCAAATATATTTTTCCGATTCTGTGGGGTGTCTATTTACCCTGTTGGTAGTCTCTTTGCTGTGAAGAGGCTCTTTAGTTTAATTAGGTCCCATTTGTCAAGTTTTTGTCTTTCTTGCAATTGCTTTTGGCATCTTCATCATGAAATCTTTGCCAGGACCTATATCTAGAATGATATTTCCTAGGTTTTCTTCAAGGGGTTTTATAGTTTTAGGTTTTACATTTGTCTTTAATCCATCTTCAGTTGATTTTTTAATATGGTGTAAGGAAGGGATCCAGTTTCAATCTTCTGCCTATAGCCAATCTGTTATCCCAGCACCATTTATTGATTAGAAAGTCCTTTCCCTATTGCTTGTTTTTGCTGATTTTGTCAAGATCAGATGGTTGTAGGTGTAGAGCTTTATTTCTGGGCTCTCAGTTCTGTTCCAATGGTCTATGTGTCTGTTTTTGCACCAGTACCATGCAGTTTGGCTTATTGTAGTGTTACAGTATAATTTGAAGTCCAGTAATGTGATGCACCCAGCTTTGTTATTTTTGCTTAAGATTGTTTCAACTATTCAGACTCTTTTTTGGTTCTATATCAATTTTAGAATAGTTTTTTTCTAATTGTATGAAGAAAGTCACTAGTAGTTTGATAGGAATAGCATCGAATCTGTAAATTGCTTTGGGCAGTATGCCCATGTTAAAAATATTGATTCTTTCTATTCATGAGCATGGAATATTTTCCATTTGTTTGTGTCATCCCTGATTTCTTTCAGCAGTGGTTTGTAATTCTTATTGTGGAAATCCTTCATCTCCCTGGTTAGCTGTATTCCTAGGTATTTTATTTCATACTACTTTTAAACTTCTAGGGAAGGAAAACACTTTCCAGCTAACTAAGCTACCAGTTAATAATCTGGTTTTATATTTAATAGTAAAAATTCATCATTTTCTTCTTCTCAAAAACATTACTCTCTCTCAGTTTATTTCATAAAATTTTCCATTATAATAATTTTCCATTATAAAAACAATGTATACTCATTATAAGAAATGTAAAACAGGTAGTAAAAAAAAAGAAGAAGAAAAACATTACTCCTGTACTTCCTGAACTAGAAATAACAATTTAGTTATATTGCCTTTCAGTATTCTTTATGTTCAGATTTTTGCTTCCGGATTGGTGTATGAATTCCATACTAAATGACCCTGTTTTTGAAATGAAATGTATTGACCTTATTCTTTGTTAATTATAAATATGGAAGTTGACTTTAAATTTTCTAATATCTATAAGAAGTATTTTATGAGACTTTTTTCTTATTCTCTACAATTTTTTAGAAGACATTTATAAAAAAGGCAGTAATTCTATAAATTTCCCTTAGAATCAAAAAACATTGAATAAGTCTACTACTTTGAATACAGCTGTGATAGTCATTAGTGGTGTTCCCCAAATATTTCTGATTCTTCACCTTTTGAGCAAATTGTTGGATTGTACTTCCTGGACCCCTTGTCATTAAGTGGGAGCCACATGACTAGTTCTGGACATGAGTTGTGAACAGAAGTGATGTATATCCTTTCTAAGCCAAGCCATTATGTGTGGCCTGACAAAGCCTCTTTCCCCTGCCACTGGAAGCACCGATGTTTATAATATTCCTGCTCTACCAGCCTGAGTCCCAAAATAAAGACATTTGAAGAAGAACCCACAACCAGCGCACAATAAGCTTGTTGTGTAGATGCAACGCAAGGTTTCATTTTTGAAATTTACCAAGGATTGCGGAATGGTTACAGCAGTATATTTTATCCTAATATATTTCATAGCTTTGTAACTTTTGTTGCATCAATTTCTATTTTATTCAAAGTGGATCCTTTTTCTTTTCTCATCAGTAACTAATATTCTGAATGTAGTTGGAAAGAATACAGAAAAAAGATTAATACTCTGAATATAGTTAGAAAGAATACAGAAATATTGTTATTTCTGATGGTTTTATGCTTGGTGATAAAAAGAGAGTAAAAGTTGGAGTCAGGACCATCACTAGGGTGTACAAATAATTGTTGTGGGGGCCCTATATTTAGAAAAAATCTGATGTGAGGTGAGGTCTGGTGATTTATGGATAAAGATTTAGAATAATGGGTAAATAAGAGGTACATATGTATATGTTTATATACACACAAACGCAGAAACACACACACACACACACACACACACACGCATATATACAATCTTCCAGTCATTGAATATGAAATGTATCCTGTCTGAAAATGAATGAGAGTTTCCCCAAAACAGCATGTCAGCATTATTCTGGCAACCCAGTATTATGCAATCCCATGAAATAAAATCCATGCCAATCCGTGGGAACAATCCACCACCAAGCTGTTCTCCTGGAAATGGGCCTGGCTATGGAGGACTCTCATAGTTTTATTAGTCTGAGTCTTAGCGCTCCTCCAGGCATCTGGTGTGGGGGAGAGAGGAGTATTAGCAAATGGGAAGTAGCCCCAAGGGGAGAAAGAAAAAGCAGGAACAGGGCACACTTGGGTCCTGGTCTGGTCTTAGAGCACTCCCTCCCCTCCCCAGACAGCACTGCTAGTTCTGGACAGTCCCGGTCTCCAGTGGGGGACTTACAACATGTCAAAGAAGGCACTCCAGCCCACTCGTGTGGGTTCCCAAAAGTGGTAAGATATGTCCATGCCCTTCAGAAGATAATTATCCAGCAGGAGGGACCCATTTGAAAATTATACAAAGTGACAAGTGTGGCCGGGTGCGGTGGCTCACACCTGTAATCCCAGCACTTTGGAAGGTCAAGGCAGGCAGATCACTTGAGGTCAGGAGTTCGAGACCAGCCTGGCCAAGATGATGAGACTCCATCTATAATACAAACACAAAAAAGTCAGGCATGGTGGTGCATGCCTATAATCCCAGCTACTCAGGAGGCTGAGGCAGGAGAATTGTGCAGGCGGAGGCTGCAGTGAACCTAGATAACGCCACTTCACTCCAGCCTGGGGGACAGATTGAGACTCTGTCTAAAAAAAATAAAAATAAAAAAAATAAGTGACAAGTGTTCTTTTAGAGATAGAGTTAAACTGCTTTGTCATGCAAAGTCAAAATCTACAATATTGATAAGGTTCTCTATAGGCATATGGGCAACTGTATCTTCATGTCCTCTAATAGATACCTTATATTGATTTTTTTCAAGTTTTTTTTTTCTTGAGGACACATCAGGGCTAGAAGAGGAAGAAAGCAATAATTCTTCTCTTACCAGTGCCCATTTCAATAGCATAGATTGGAGTCATTATTCTAAGACTTTATTGTGCAAAAGAATCATCCTCAGAATATCAGATAATGCGGCCCAGGCAATTCTGTTTCTAAGAAGCACTTCAGGTGATTGAAGTGAACCATAGCTTGAGAAACACAAAGCTAGAGACAGACTCATAAGCATCCTCACCTTTTGATATAAAGAATTATGTTAACAAAGCAAATAAATTATGTAGAATCCTGGGAGTGTTGAATACAAAAGTTTAATGACTTTTAGGTTATATTATTGGCCCCTCTGTGACTGGGAGAGATGGAAAAAGATTTAGATCCAGGGACCTTTTCAATAGTAAGGAATGATCTTTCCAGAAGTTGTTCTAAGGGCTTTATTATGTATTAAACTTATTTATATATAATCTTTACAACAACTTAAGAAGGTAGGTTCTTAACACATAAAAAAACTGAAAAACTGACAGTATAAGTAACTTGTCCAAGGTCACATGGCTAATAGGCGGAGACCTGAGATTCCAAACTAGGCGTTTCCTACACTAGTGTCCATGTTCCTACTCACTGCATTGTACTATTATTGAGTACATAAACAGAAATGCTGGCTGCTACCAATAATCACTGGGGTGGCTCTTCGCATATTCTAAGGCATATCCCAGTAAACATCAGGGTGAAAAAGTCATAATACAGCTTTACATTTTAGATGCCTAACCACATTAAAGCAGTACTTTCCAATCTGGTTACACATTAAAATGACCTGAGGAGCTTTTAAAATATTTCAGTGTCCAGCTCCACTACCGACAAATAAAATCAGAATATCTAAGGGGGAAGCCTGGCTTAAGTACTTTTTAAAAAGTTCCCCAAATAATTTTAATATGATACCATTGCATTAGACACTTAAAAACACATTTTAATTAAAATTTAAAAACATTCATATCTTTGCAGATGGCCCCCTTTTGTTTTGTTTTAAGAAGATGAAAGAACATTTACTATATTCTACATATGGTTTGTGGAGTGTTTTGCAGTGGCCTGAATTGAAATGCTTAATTATCAATATGTGCGTAGTTATAAATTTGTTCAGAGTTTTATTTATCTTTTTATTAAAAGGGATTTGGAGATAATAATGTGATGATCAATTGTTTAGAATAACAATTAAGTAGTGTGATGACTCTTAGGGCATTTAGAAGCCATTCTCTCCTAATTTCCTGATTCTAGATAATTTCCCTTTATTCAAAGGTAAACTATAATTGTTTCAGAACACACTTATGCCTACTGGATGAAATGCCAGATTTCTTCACATTCTCTTTTTGGATCAAGTCCATCTGAGTAGCCAGGGTCCTTTATCTATACCTGACACTTTTAAAGTTTTGTATGAAACATCTGTTTTTCATTTTTAAAATGTCAACTTGTCCATCTTGAATGGGCATTGGGTAAAGGAGACAAATCCTGCTTTGTCTAAAGAGCCCATCTTGATTGTTATGCCAAAACCATATTTCCTCCATTAATCAGATTCCTTAACAACTTGCCAGCAAAGGCAGTGGGCAGTGGATAATCCTGCGGTGCAACTTCTATGTTAACCACTCCAGAGAATACTGTGTAGGGGACAGTAAAGTGTGCTTTCTCTCCAAAGTGTTGTTTTCCTACTACATCTTGTTCTTTACTCTACAATTTAAGTATCACAAAAGAGATCCAGGGAGATTTAAAAATAATGGCTGTTGATCCTTTCAGCCACCCTGCCCCGCTGCCATAACCCTCTCCCCGCAGAATCACTACTCTTTGTACTCAGCTGAGCTGATGGCCTTCTGTATTTCCCATCGGAAGGCCTAGCCCAGGAGCTACAGCCTCAGGGATTCTTTTATTACTGAAAAGATCTTTATAAAATGATATTTAGGAGACTAGACCCTCAACTCAACTCTGAGCCTCATAAAGACCCTCTTTTCCTCCCTTTATGCAACCCCCCGGGATATGGAGCCTCACAGTTTTTCCAAGAAGTGGTAGGGATGAATTAGAGTAGAATTTCACTACTGCTCAGACACTCTCCATGATGGTAAAAATCTTTTTTCACCATGCTCAATCCAAACACAAGGCCATTATTCTAACTTGACAGTAATACAGGTGAAGAGAATTCGGGGATGGCATGCCTCTAACAGGAGCTAGAAGAAACTGCTCAAGCAGACTAGGAGTAGTGGCCCAGGCCCATCTTCTAGGGTTCCACATGCTTTCATGGGTCAGAACCCATGTCACCTCTTCCTTTGCCAAGCATATAACACATGACTTATAGATGTTTGTTTGGTAAATGTTTACTGATGAATGAAAGTAGAAGTCAGAAAAGGGTAATGGGCATATTTTGGCAATTGTTGAATTGGGGAAATTGGTTGCTTAGAGCAAAAAACAAAATGACATTTTCACTTGTAGACTGCATTCCATGACTACATGGGTCTTGGTCATTTTTCAATGCCCCCAGCTCCCTAAATCTGGCAAGATTTATGAATTCGCAGAACTCTCTGCCAAGTCACATGTGCAAGCTGGCCTTAGCTTAGCAACAGTGGCTCCAATGCTTCCAATGAAATTTTTTTTTCAGCTCTGCCTTTCTGGTTGGCTGTCAGCATGATCTCATTAAGGCTGAGTGACCCAGGCCTGACTATGGCAGCTCACACTGCTGGTATGCTGCTACTGTTTTCTCTCCCAAGACATCTGCTTCAGCCCTGCTTCAGATAATACTTCATTATGTCCTGGAAATGTTTCTTACCACTTTGTGCACCATTGTGTGTTGTTCTCTTTGAAGTTAATGTGAGTCTTATGTGATGATATGATATACATCAGAGTGTACCTAAAAATTATGGCTTACTGCATAAAAAAATTAGAAAGATCCTCTTTTCATTTGTTAAATTCAAAGCAACAGAACTCTAGTCTTCCTTTAGAAATGCAGGCAGTTTGCTTAGAGATTGAAGAGAGAAAGAGGAAAATAGTTTTTCTTACCCCTGCATATCAGACCTTCAAAGTGAGTAAGGAACACTCATGCATCTGGGGAAGTGATGGGCTTACTCATTGTTTATGGATCTTAAAGTCCCTAATAAGACTCTGGAAATACCCATATAACAAATGTTTAAGTTAGAAAAAAAAAGTGTTTCACATTCTACATTATGACTATGGGTGAGTATCTATTAGGACCCTAACTGTCTTTAAACCACCAAGCTATATAGGGGCTGTGTCAATAGTTCTTATATCTATAAATATTTGGTAATGAGCAAAATATTTAGACAGCAATAGTTAAGGTTTAGAGTATTTTTACTATTTAGGAGGTAGTGGGCTAAACATATGGCATAGATTTTCTACCTTATAAGTTAATGGTGTTGCATTTTCTACATTTTGCAGATGGGGCAACTGAGTAATTGACAAAATAGGTAACTTACTTGCCCAAAGGTTAGTCAGTGTCTATGAATCATAGACTTCTACGAATGTGATTTCCATGGATATGGTTAACAGAGTGTGCCCCGGCCTCCCAGCAGGCTGCAACCAGGGCACACTCTGTTAACCATATCCATGGAAATCACATTCATAGAAGTCTGGGAAAGCAGAAGATCTGCTCTTGGGTCTGGTGGAACTGCAGATTACCAGTGGGACAGTAACTGTTTTTCCTTGTAATCTCCATTTGAGTCTACTCTGCATCCAATTCTGTCAGCTCCCTATGTTCTCTGAGACATTGACCTAATTTATTCACCTTCACAAAGCAGATTATTGATGGGAGACAAAAAAGAAAATAAGGAGAAATTTATGCTAGATCTATCTCTGTGCTAGGCCAATTTACAGCAGATATCCAGCATGTAGCTATTGAATTCTGAGTTTATATGAACAAAGTTTCTATATACCAGAGGATATTTGCCACCAAAGAGCTGCAAATCCATGAGTGCCAGCTTCAATACTAATATATCAATGGTAGTTCTTCTTAAATTTTTAAAATTCACTATAAGGAGAAAGTACTACTTTTATTTTTAATCAGAAAAAAATTTAACATGGTTAATGAAGTTTTTTAGATTTCTCATAATTTTAGTCAAATAATATTTTCAGGGATTCCTTGTCAAACTAATAGTTGAGTAATGACATGTGGAATATTGCATCACCAAAAATGTTTTCTAACTATATTGCCTCCCCTCCTCCTTATTTTTTCTATCGACTACAGGGTAGGAGCCTAGGTGACTTGATATTTTCTGTTTCTGGAGAAAAATATATGTAGAAAAAATAACTTTCAAGTCATTTTTATCCTCAAACTGTAATATTGGCCCTATGTTCCCAGTGGTAAAAAAAAAAAAAAAAAAAAAAAGGAGAAAGGAAGGAAGGGGGTAAAAGATGGCAGAATTCAATTTGAGACTGACCAAGAAGAAATAAAGAGATCAGGAATATGTCAAGTGTGCTTTCAGATATCAAATTTCAAACTAGTACTCCCATTGCAAATCACTCACAGTATCCTCTATCACCTGTAACTTTGTGAAAGCATAAACTAAGGCAGCAAGGATGGTACATGTCAGGTGTCTTTGAATCAACTGCTTCATGCAGTACATACTCACAATGGATACGAACTAAGACCTTGACAAATCTCCAAACCCATAACTACCACCAATGTCCTGTTTTCCCCTGAAAATGCTCTGAAGGATATACTTTATTGAACACTTTGAGTTACCTCTTTGATTCAATTTGAATTTTTCATAGTGAAAGCATGAGAAAACTCAATGTCAAAGTAGCTAGAAAGCAAAGGAAATCAATTTTCTCATGTGACTGAAAATACAGAGCTCTCCTCAACAGCCTGACTGAGGTCATCAGGACCTGAGTGTTCCCTCTCCCTTGCCCTCCCCTACTCCTCACCCTCATCCCACTTCTCTACTTGGCCCCCTCAGTGCTGCAGTTGGAAAGAGAGATGAAGAGAGCTGGACATCGGTGAGGGCCTCAGCTCTCTTCTTTCTTGGTGTTAAATTTACAGAGTCGTGGGGGAAGTAGGGCAAGGGAAATAAACCACAACATTCTGAGATCAGAGGAGCTTACCTCCCAGAATACAGGGGGAGGGGTAAAGGTAACTCAGATTCTCAGAGACAATAAAAACCACCAGGAGGTTGAGTGAGCAGCAAGAGATCTTAAACTGTGGCCCTTCACCAGAATAGACAGTGAGTCACACAGTGCCCAACAAGGACTGACGCCAGCACCCAGAAACTACAAGACAATGCAGAAACCACAAGATGCCTCATTCTCAGCACAGGGACAATGCAGAAGCTTCCTCTTGTTGCCCAAGAGAAGCAAAGGGAATCGGAGATGACAAAGGCCCAGCAGAGAGGAACTTTGGAAAATTGAAGTATTTAATAAAAATAAACTTTATTATCCTATGAGCCCCTGTGTAAATTAGCAATAACTGAATTAATCTTTGATAGGTAAGATTAAGAATCTTTCTGGTTTTTGACCCCATTGAAAGAGGTCTTGTCTGTTGACTAAACACAGTCCTCAAAAGAAGTTATCTGTTCCTCTAGCACATTGTACCAAATTTATCATCTCCAACTCCACCCTGTTTCTGGAGCCTCTTGATAGCATATCCTATCAAAACTAGTTTGGAAGTGCTTCAGACCAAGCCGTCTGCCTGAGTCCCCTGACATATTCCTGTAATCTTGTTCCCTTAACTCTGTCATCCCAAGGTTTCACATCTAGAAGACTTGGCAACAAGTCCAGGATTTTTGGCCTTCCTTGACCTATCTTGCCTAAAGCATTATTTTATCAGCCTCTTCCTTCATCACATTTCTCCTTGTCGTCTGATCCAGAGAGCAATGTCACTGTCCTCTTTACTATATGTGGCTCCTTTTCCTTTGGTGTCTTCCACATTAACCAGGCCATGCTCTCTTAAAGCCTTCTTCATTCCAGGCAAGCTGGCTCTTTTCCTTTCTTAACGCTGTGATTATATCAACACAGAGCATGATTAGCAGGTGGTGAGCTGAGGATTGCTTCAAGTACACAATATGAGCTTGCGATATTGTTCTCAGTAGCTATTGATCTTCTTTTGTGATATTGTTCTCAATATATCTATTGTCCTCCAAGTAATCATTGAGGCTCTGGATGTCTAAAAATGGATGTGCAGTTTTCTGAAGCCTGTGGCGGTATCTGTATCTGGGAGCTGGGTAGCAGTTGAGGGAAAGAGATTAAGATTTCTTTTGACTCTTTTTACTTGGAGGGTTTATTGGTTTATTTATCTGTTTCATTTAGTTTTTTTTTTTCCTGCTGCCTAGCAGAAATGAGGATTCAGAAGCAAATTAAATTCCATTTTAAAAAATTAAACACAGTGCTCTGTTTCTGTGCACCTGTGTTGTGACTATGCTGTAAACTCACTGAAGTTTCAATCAATGCTCTGCCACTTAATTAGCTTTTTGACCTTGGGTTTCTGTAGCTCAGTTTCCTCATCTTCAAATAAAGGTAATAATAGTGCTTTCCTGAGGGACATATTGTATCAAATGAGAAAATCAATGTAAATGCCTCAGTTCAGTGCTATGCCTATAGGAAGCACTTAACAAAAATGAATTATTTTTATTCATGTAAATCTTCTGCATTCATTGCCTTATGTGACAGTTAGTTATCATGGAGCAATCTAAGGACTGATTTTGAGAGCATACAGTTAGGATATAACCCAGGATTTGTGGGCTCATGACAGAAAGTGTCAATCAGGGAAAAAAATAAAGATCACTCCTAGAGAGAAGGGACAGAGTAAGAAATGAAAGAACGTGGAGGTAGCATTAGAGAAATTCCCACAGGTGGTTCCTTTTGGCTCGAGTATCATTGTGCATGGAGAATGGGACATGAATCTGGAAAGTGCATAAGGAAGAGTCAAGGTAGATCACTTAGGAAGGTCCGCCAGGAATAAAGAGAATATTAACTAAGGCAACAACAAACAAGTTAGTCAGAAATGAAAGGTGAGAAGGTCTGGGCGAATGAACACACATCTGAGAGATATTCAAGAAATAGAATTCTTAGGTTTTGATTACTGATTAGATATGCAGGGGTTGGGGAGGTGATAAAGAAGAAAGAGAAGAAAAGGTTAAAGATAACTCTCTGTTTCTGACTTGGTGGCATAACTGGTTAGATTGTTAGATGTGGGTCTAGACTCCAAAATAAGGAACACATGAAAAGGAGCAAGCTTGAATGGAGATGCAAATAATTCAGTTATAGTTAGGTTGAGGTGGAGGAGCCCATGTTGGAAAGATAAGTTAAATATGCTGTAATTCATTTTTAAAAATGGATTTGACATTTAGGAAAAAGGTCTGGTTTAGAGATATGCATTTGGGCGCCATCAGCACCTATCTCATTCATAGATGAGATTGCCAAGGAAACAGGGACTGGAAAAAAAGGACTAATGACAGAACAGTAGAGAGCTCTGACCTTGGCCCAGCGTGGTGGCTCATGCCTATACTCCCAGCACTATGGGAGGCCAAGGCAGGGGATCACAAGGTCAGGAGTTTGAGGCCAGACTGGCCAAAATGGCAAAACCCCGTCTCTACTAAAAATACAAATATTAGCTGGGCATGGTGGCACACACCTGTAATCCCACCTACTCAGGAGGCTGAGGCAGGAGAATCAGTTGAACCTGGGAGGCAGAGGTTGCAGTGAGCCAAGATCATACCACTGCACTCCAGCCTGGGTGACAGAGTGAGACTCCATTTCAAAAAAAAAAAAAGAGATTGAGAGAGAGAGCTCTGACCCTTAGGATGAGTAGGGACAGAGGATCCCATGAAGGAAGTCATTTGAAGTGGACAGAAGGTTAATCTAGAAATCAATATAGTAGCAACTTGGGAAAGAAGGGGATATTTAATAGGCCAGATGCTTCAGAAGTTTCAAAGGTACCCATTCTTGGTTTCTGGGGAATAAGAAACAAATAGAATGCGAGGGTGTAGTTTTAGGCTTTACATTCTTCCTAAAATCTTAAATAGTATAGCCATTCACTGCTTTCCCCATCCTCATTCTTTGTCCCCAGTCATTACAGTTGATTCTGTTGCTACCTCTCAATATCTAGAGTCACCCACCACTTTGGTTTTGTTCTACTCACTTCCTTTCTGCTGATTCCTCTTTTCCTCTCTCCTCCTTACAGTTCCCATGCAAGCTCTTTACCTCATTACTCTTCCTGGTACCCTCATTATTTTTCAACAGTATTCTACCTGGACTTTATGCCTTTAATCCCTTTACAACATCCATTTTCAAGGCTTTTTAACATATGTTTATATGTTAAAAGCTACCCCTCTTGATGTGTATTATACTTTCATATACTTAAGACTCTGCATAACCTGCTGAACCCCAGTAGTATCCACGGCTCCCTCCCAGCTTTCTGAATACACTACAGTTTGTTCCCGCTAGGCCCAGGCTCATTGCACAGTGCATTCCTTCTTCCTGAAACACTCTTCACCTTCCATTAACCTACCTCTCACTTGACCTTTTCCTCTCAGCTTAAATGGCACATCCTCTTTTGAGATCCCTACCCTGACCCTTAACATGGGGAAGGAGTTTCCTCTGGGTGTTCCCATATGTGTCTGTGCTTATCCCATCATACAAGTTAGCACATTTAATTGTAATGATCTCATGCTATTTTCCTTGTAAAACTGGGAATTTCTCAAAGATCCTATTTTCTTTATCAATATATACTCTGCATATAGAAGGAACCAACTAATATTTGTTGAATGGAGTAAGAACTATGTAATCACATAAAAGTTGATTACAATATAAAATATGAAACTGGACTACATGTACAAATTACAACAATTATATAAAACATATTCATATGTACATAAAGTATCAGAACACATGCAAAAAATGCTATAACTGTATGAGAGTTATATGAAAGATTGTATAAGGGCAGTGATATTAGAGGTGATTATCTTTAACTTTTTTCCTTTAATTTTCTAGATTGTCAGTGATTTCATTACAAGTTTTATAAGAAATACATAATATTTAAAAAATACATTGTCGTATTTTTCCAGGGCCGGGCATGGTGGCTCACACCTGTAATCCCAGCACTTTGGGAGGCTGAGGCTGGCAGATCACGAGGTCAGGAGATTGAGACCATCCTGGCTAACACAGTGAAACCCCGTCTCTACTAAAAATACAAAAAATTACCCGAGCGTGGTGGCAGGTGCCTGTAGTCCCAGCTACTCAGCTGGGACCAGGCTGAGGCAGGAGCATGGTGTGAACCCGGGAGGCGGAGCTTGCAGTGAGCCGAGATCGTGCCACTGCACTCCAGCCTGGGTGAAAGAGTGAGACTCTGTCTCAAAAAAAAAAAAAAAAAAAAAAAAAATTGTCATATTTTTCAGTAGTTAATAAAGAACAACTACACTTGGGTATATACCCAGTAATGGGATGGCTGGGTCAAATGGTATTTCTAGTTCTAGATCCCTGAGGAATTGCCACACTGACTTCCACAATGGTTGAACTAGTTTACAGTCCCACCAACAGTGTAAAAGTGTCCCTATTTCTCCACATCCTCTCCAGCACCTGTTGTTCCCTGACTTTTTAATGATTGCCATTCTAACTGGTGTGAGATGATATCTCATAGTGGTTTTGATTTGCATTTCTCTGATGGCCAGTGATGATGAGCATTTTCTCATGTGTTTTTTGGCTGCATAAATGTCTTCTTTTGAGAAGTGTCTGTTCATGTCCTTTGCCCACTTTTTGATGGGGTTGTTTGTTTTTTTCTTGTAAATTTGTTTGAGTTCGTTGTAGATTCTGGATATTAGCCCTTTGTGAGATGAGTAGGTTGCGAAAATTTTCTCCCATGTTGTAGGTTGCCTGTTCACTCTGATGGTAGTTTCTTTTGCTGTGCAGAAGCTCTTTAGTTTAATTAGATCCCATTTGTCAATTTTGGCTTTTGTTGCCATTGCTTTTGGTGTTTTGGACATGAAGTCTCCCATTACTGGGTATATACCCAAATGACTATAAATCATGCTGCTATAAAGACACATGCACACGTATGTTTATTGCGGCATTATTCACAATAGCAAAGACTTGGAACCAACCCAAATGTCCAACAATGATAGACTGGATTAAGAAAATGTGGCACATATACACCATGGAATACTATGCAGCCATAAAAAATGATGAGTTCATGTCCTTTGTAGGGACATGGATGAAATTGGAAACCATCATTCTCAGTAAACTATCGCAAGAACAAAAAACCAAACACAGCATATTCTCACTCATAGGTGGGAATTGAACAATGAGATCACATGGACACAGGAAGGGGAATATCACACTCTGGGGACTGTGGTGGGGTGGGGGGATGGGGGAGGGATAGCACTGGGAGATATACCTAATGCTAGATGACAAGTTAGTGGGTGCAGTGCACCAGCACGGCACATGTATACATATGTAACTAACCTGCACAATGTGCACATGTACCCTAAAACTTAAAGTATAATAAAAAAAAAGAACAATTACACTAATATACTTAAATGTTTCTTTATAAAATATTTTATTTATTGGAATATTTCCAAGCATGAATTACTCTTACTCTAACATAACTTTGAGCCTGGAAAACGTAAGAGAGTGGGATGATAAAAACAGAAATTCTAAAATTTACTTTCTTAGATCCTTTTTAAAATCAGATCTTGTCCTTAATGATTCCCCTTTGTGGGTGCTCTCCTTCTGCCCATTTCTGATATACACTTTTGCAAACTAAGATGCCTGCTGTTTTAACTTGAACTACATAACGAAAAAGTTAAATTCACCTTATACCTTGCCCAGTCTGCCCTACTCAAAAGAGACAAACTTAAGGTTGTTTGTGATGCAAAATATTTAGTTTTGACCTATGAAACAAACCAGTAATTTTGTTGGCCTTTGAAACAAACCATTAAACTTTGAGGTAAAAAGTAATAATTTAATATTCAATGTTTGTTAACTGTATCTTCACCTAAAATCTTAGTCTCACCCTCTCTCTGGCTCTACCCAATTTCTACTCTCTGTGCCTCAGACACAGAAATGGAATTGGCTCAGGAAATTCTTCAGGGTATTTCCCAAACTTCTTGCCAACCTTTAATATCATCAAATATTTTCTTTAGTTTTTTTAATCTAATGGGTAATTTTTTTTATTTCCCTAACTACTAGATCACAGTAAAAAGTTTAAATAATATAGAATAAAGCCAGGCATGGTGGCTTATGTCTGTAATCCCAGTGCTCTGGGAGGCTGAGACAGGAGGATTGCTTGAGGCCAGGAGTTTGAGGCCAGTCTGAGAAACACAGCTAGACTCTGTCTCTACAAAAAAGTTATTAAGACTAGCCAGAAGTGATGGCACACACTTATAGTTCCAGCTACTTGGGAAGCTAACCTGGAGTTTGTCAATGTATACATATATTTATTTTTGTGTGAGTAAATCTTTTGATTTGTTCCTGTGTGCTTCAGAATTTTGTGTTTTGCTTAGGAATTTTCCATATTACAAGGCAAAAAAGATAGTCTTTTATTCTCTTTTCTGTTTTAAATATTGATTTTTAATATTGAGATATGTTATTTAGTGAATTGATTCATTATTTATTTTATGTTTAATTTTTGTGGGTAGAAAGTAGATGTATATATTTATGGGGTACATGAGATATTTTCACACAGGCATACAATGCATAATAATCACAGCAGGGTAAATAGGGTGTCCACCACCTCAAACATTTATCCTTCCTTAGTGTAACAAGTGATCCAATTGTACTCTTTTAGTTATTTTTCAATGTACAATAAATTATTATTGACTGCACTCATCCTGTTGTACTATAAAATACTAAGTCTTATTTATTTTTTTACCAATTATCCATCTCCACGTCTCCCCTCCCACTACCCTTCCAAATCTCTGGTAGCCATTTTTCTACTATCTTCAAGAATTCAGTCATCGTTTTACTTTTCTTAGGTCCTACAAATAAGTAAGAACATGCAAAGTTTGTTTTCCTGTGTTTTGCCTATTTCACTTCACATAATGTCCTCTAGTTCCAAACATGTGGTTGCAAATGACAGGGTCTCTTTTTTATAGCTGTATAGTACACCATTGTGTATACATACCACATTTTCCTTATCTATTCATCGGTTAATGGATACTTAGATTGGTCTAAATCATGGCTATCGTGAATAGTACTGCAATAAACGTGAGAGTGCAAATACATCTTCAATACACTGATTACCTTTCTTTTGGGTATATATCTACCAGTAGGATTGCTAGATCGTATGACAGTTTTATTTTTAATTTTTGGGAAACCTACATACTATTGTCCATAGTGGTTTCACTAATTTACATTCCACCAAACAGTGTAGAAGACTTTTCTTTCCTCCACGTCTTTGTCAGCATTTGCTATTGCCTATCTTTTGGATAAAAACCACTTTAAGGAAGACAATATCTTACTGTAGTTTTGATTTGCATTTTCCTGATGATCAGTTATGTTGGGCACCTTTTCATATATCTGTTTGCCATTTATATGTCTTCTTTTGAGAAATGCCTATTGACACCTTTGCTCATTTTTAATCAGACTGTTAGATTTATTTTCCTATTGAGTTGTTTGAGTGCCATATATACTCTGGTTATTAATCCTTTTTCAGATAATAGCTTGCAAATATTTTCTCCCATTCTGTGGGTTGTTTCCTTACTTTGTTGATTGTTTTCTTTGCTGTGCAGAAGCTTTTTAACTTTGTGTGATCAGATTTGTCCATTTTTGCTTTGGTTGCCTGTGCTTGTGGGCTATTATTTAAATCATTGCCCAGATCAATGTCCTGGATAGTTTCCCCAATGTTTTCTTATAGTAGTTTCATAGTTTTAGGTCTTTGATTTAAGTCTTTAATCCATTTTGGATTTGATTTTTGTATATGACAAGAGATAGGAGTCTAGTTTCATTATTCTGCATATGGATATCCAATTTTCCAAGCACTATTTATTGAAGAGGTTGTCCTTTCCTCAGTGAATAACCTAGGCAGCTTTGTCAACAATGAGTTCACTGTAGGTGTGTGCATTTGCGTCTGTGTTCTCTATTCTGTACTATTGGTCTATGTGTGTGCTTTTATGCCAGTACCAGGCTGTTTTGGATACTATAGCTTTGTAGTATAATTTGCAGTCAGACAATGTGATTCCTCCAGTCTTTTGTGGTTTTACAGAAATTTTAGGGTGTTTTTTCCTATTTCTGTGAAGAATATCATTGGTACTTTTAAAGAAATTGATTGAACCTATAAATTGCTTTGAGTAGTGTGGACACTGACAATATTGATTCTTCCAATCCATAAACATGAAATATCTTGCCATTTGTTGTGTATCCTCTTCAATTTCTTGAAAAATATTTTATAGCTTTAATTGCAGAGATGTTTCCCTTTTTTGGTTGAATTTATTCCCAGGTATTTTATTTTATTTGTAGCTATTATAAGTGGGATTATTTTCTTGATTTTGTTGTCAGATTGTTCAGTATTGGCATATAGAAATGCTATTGATTTTTGTAAGTTGATTGTACATCCTACAAATTTACTGAATTTATCAGTTTGAATAGTTTTTCTGCACAGTCTTTAGGTTTTTCTGAATATAAGACCATATTATCTACAAACAAGGATAATTTGACTTTTTCCTTTCCAATTTGGATGCACTTTCTTTCTTTCTTTTGTCTGATTGGTCTAGTTAGGACTTCCAGTACTATGTTGAGTAACAGTGGTGACGGTGGGCATCCTTGCCATATTCCAGATCTTAGAGGAAAGGCTTTTAGTTTTTCAGAATGACACTAACTGTAGGTATATCATATATGACTTTCATTGTGTTGAGGTATGTCCCTTCTATCCTCAGTTTTTGAGTCTTTTTATTACGAAGAGATATTGAAATTTATCAAATGCTTTTTAGCATCAGTTGAAATGATCATATGTTTTTGTCCTCCATGCTGTTGATGTGATGTATCTTGTTGATTAATTTGCATATGTTGAATCATCCTTGCATCCCTTAAATCCCACTTGGTCATGACGAATGATCTTTTTAATGTGTTGTTGAACTCAGTTTGCTAGTATTTTGTTTGGAATTTTTGCATCAATGTTTATCAGGGATATTGGCCTGTAATTTTCTTTTTTGAAGTGTCTTTGCTTGGTTTTGATATCAGGGTAATACTAGCCTTGTAGAATGAATTTGGAAGTATTCTTTCCCTCTGTTTTTCAGAATAGTTTGAGTAGGATTGGTATTAGTTCTTCTTTAAATGTTTGCTAAAATTCAGCAGTGAAGCCATGTGGTTCTGAGGTTTTCTTTGCAGGGAGAATTTTATTACAACTTTAATCTAATTGCTTATTATTGGTCTTATCAGGTTTTTAATTTCTTCATGGTTCAATCTTGGTAGGTGATATGTGTCTAGGAATTTATCCATTTATTCCCAGTTTTCCAATTTATTGGCATATAGTTGCTCATATTACTCTCCAATGATTCTTCAAATTTTTATGGCATTGGTTGTAAGGTTTCCCTTTTTATCCCTGATTTTATTTGCTTGGGTTTTCTCTGTTTTTTTCTTAGTTGGGCTAAAGTTTTGTCAAATTTGTTTATCTTTTTGAAAAACCAACTTTTTGTTTCATTGATCTTTGCTATTGCTTTTTTTGTTGTTGTTTCAGCTTCATTTATTTCTGCTCTGATATTTATTATTTCTTTTTTTCTACTAATTTTGATTTTGGTTTGCTCTTGCTTTCAAGTTTGTTACGATGCATCATTAGGTTGTTTATTTGAAGTTTTTCTGCTTTTTTGATATAGTTGCCTATTGCTATAAACATTCCTTGTAGTACTGCTTTTGCTGTATCCCACAGGTTTCCATATGTTGTATTTCCATTTGCATTAGTTTAAAATTTTTTTTCAATTTTTTTCTTAATTTTTTCATTGGCCTACTGGTCCTTTCAGGGCACATTGTTTAATTTATATGTGTTGTATGTATAGTTTCCAACATTTTTCCTGTTATTGATTCCTAGTTTTTTACCTTTGTTGTTAGAGAAGATACTTGATATAATTTTTTTTTTGAATTTTTTAAGATGTGTTTGTAGCTTAACATATGTTCTATCCTTGAGAATGATCCATGTGCTGAGGAGAAGAATGTGTATTCTGGATTCATTGGATGAATGTTCTGAAAACAACTATTAGGTCCATTTGGTCTATAGTGCAGATTAAGTCCAGTGTTTCCTTGTTTATTATTTTTTTCTGGATGCTCTGTCTAATGCTGAAAATCAGGTGTTGATGTCTCCAACTGCTATTGTACTGAGGTCTATCTCTTCAGCACTAATATTTGCTTTATATATGTGGGTGTTCCAGTTGGGTGCATATAAATTTATAATTGTTATATCCTCTTGCTGAATTGACCACTTTATCATTATATAATGACCTTTGCCACTTTTTCTAGTTTTTGTCTTGAAATCTATTTGTCTGAATGACTATATCGATTTCTGCTATTTTTTGGTTTTCACTTGCATGAAATATTTTTTCACCCTATGTTTGCCTTTGTAGGTGAAGTCTGTTTCTTGTAGGCAGCAGATCATTGGGTCTTGATTTCTTTTCATCCACTCAGCCATTCTTTGTCTTTTGATTGGACAGTTTAGTCCATTTACATTCAATGTTATTATTAATATGTAAGGACTTTTGCCATTTTGTTGCTTGTTTTCTGGTTGTTTTGTGGTATTCTTGTCCTTCTTTCCTTTCTTCTTCTCTTCCTTTTAGTGAAGACTTTCTCTGGTGATTTGTTTCCATTTCTTGCTTTTTATTTTTTAGATATCTTTTGTATGTTTTTTGATTTGAGATTACCATGAGGTTTGCAAATAATATAACCCATTATTTTAAACCGATGACAACACTGATTGCATGAACTAAATAACCAAAAAACAAGCAAAGATAAAGCTAATAAAATCTCTACACTTTATCTTCTTTTCTCTGCTTTTTAACTTTTTGTTTCTAAATATCTTATTATACAATATCTTGAAAAGTTTTTGTAGTTATTATTTTTAAAAGGTTCATCTTTTAGTCTTTCTACTCAAGATATAAGTGGTTCACACACCACAATTACAGTGTTATAACCTTCTGTGTTTTTCTGTGTACTTGCTATTACCAGTGAGTTTTGTACTTTCAAATGATTTATTATAGCTCATTAACATCCTTTTCTTTCAGATTAAAGAACTCTCTTTAGCATTTCTTGTAGGTCTGGTGTTGATGAAGTCCTTCAGCTTTTGTTTGTCTGGGAAATACTTTGTTTCTTCATGTTTGAAGGACAGTTTTGTTGGATATACTATTCTGGGATAAAAGTATGTCATACCACTCTCTCCCAACCTATAAAGTTTCCACTGAGAATTCTGCTGCCAGATGTATTGGAGTTCCTTTGTATGTTATTTGTTTCTTTTCTCTTGCTGCTTTTAAGATCCTTTCTTTATCCTTGACCTTTGGGAGTGTATTAGTTTGTTTTCATGCTGCTGATAAAGACATAACCAAGACTGGGAAGAAAAAGAGGTTTAATTTGACTTACAGTTCCACATGGCTAAGGAGGCATCAGAATCATGGCAAGAGGTGAAAGGTACTTCTTACATAGCAATGGTAAGAGAAAATTAGGAAGATGCAACAGCAGAAACCCCTGATAAAACCATCAGATGTCGTGAGACTTATTCACTACCATGAGAACAGTATGGGGAAAACTGCCCCCATGATTCAAATTACCTCCCACTGGGTCCCTCCCACAACACATGGGAATTATGGAAGTACAATTCAAGATGAGATTTGGGTGGGGACCCAGAGCCAAACCATCTCGTTCCTCCCCTAGCCCCTCCAAATCTCATGTACTCACATTTCAAAATCAATCATGCCTTCCCAACAGTCCCCCAAAGTCTTAACTCATTTCAGCATTAACCCAAAAGTCCACAGTCCAAAGTCTCATCTGAGACAAGGCAAGCCCCTCTGCTTATGAACCTGTACAATCAAAAGCAAGCTAGTTTCTTCCTAGATACAATGAAGGTACAGGTATTAGATAAATACAGCCATTTCAAATGGGAGAAATTGGCCAAAGCAAAGGGGCTACAGACCCCAGGCAAGTCCAAAATCCAGCAGGGCAGTCAAATTTTGAAGCTCCAAAATGATCTCCTTTGACTACAGCTCTCACATCCAGGTCACGCTGATGCAAGAGGTGGGTTCCCATGGTCTTGGGCAGCTCTGCCTCTGTGGCTTTTCACGGTACAGCCTCTATCCCAGCTGCTTTCACAGGTTGGCATTGAGCGTCTGTGGCTTTTCTTGGTACACAGTGCAAGCTGTAGGTGGATCTACCATTCTGGGGTCTGGAGAATGGCGGCCCTCTTCTCACAGCTCCACTAGGCAGTGCCCCAGTAGGGACTCTGTGTGGGGGCTCTGATCCCACATTTTCCTTCTGTACTGCCCTAGCCAAGGTGCTTCATGACAGGCTTGCCCCTGCAGCAAACTTCTGGCTGGGCATCCAGGCATTTCCATACATCTTCTGAAATCTAGGTGGAGGTTCCCAAACCCCAATTCTTGACTTCTGTGCACTGGCACACTCAACACCACATGGAAGCTGCCAAGGCTTAGGGCTTGCACCCTCTGATGCCATGGCCTGAGCTCTACATTGGCCCCTTTCAGCAATGGCTGGAGTGGCTGGGACACAGGGCACCAAGTCCCTAGGACACACACAGCACAGGGACCCTGGGCCCTGCTCACAAAACCATTTTTTTCTCCTAGACCTCCAGGTCTGTGATGGGAGAGGCTGCCACAAAGGTCTCTGACATGTCCTGGAGACATTTTCCCCCATTGTCTTGGGGATTAACATATGGCTCCTCATTACTTATGCAAATATCTGCAGCTGGCTTGAATTTCTCCTCAGAAAATGGGATTTTTTCTACCAAACTGTCAGACTGCAAATTTTCCAAACTTCTATGCTCCATTTCTCTTTTAAAACTGAATGCCTTTACCAGCACCCAAGTCATCTCTTGAATGCTTTGCTGATTAGAAATTTCTTCTTCCAGATACCCTAAGTCTTCTCTCTCAAGTTCAAAGTTCCATAAATCTCTAGGGTAGGGCAAAATGCCACCAATCTCTTTGCTAAAACATAGCAAGAATCATCTTTGTTCCAGTTCCCAACAGATTCCTCATATCCATCTGAGACCACCTCAGCCTGGATTCCATTGTCCATATCATTATTAGTAGCTTTGTCAAAGCCATTCAACAAGTCTCTAAGAAATTCCCAACTTTCTCCCATTTTCCTGTCTTCCCTTGAGCCCTCCACACTGTTTCAATCTCTGCCTATTACCCAGTTCCAAAGTCACTTCCACATTTTCAGTTATCTTTTCAGCAATGCCCTACTCTACTGGTACCAATTACGCTGTTTTTACAGTGTAATTTACAAATTATATATTTTTATGTATCTACAATTTGCTGATAAAGACATAATCAAGACTTATAGTTCCACATGGCTGGAGAGGCATCAGAATCGTGGTGGGAAATGAAAGGCACTTCTTACATGGCAGTGACAAGAGAAAATGAGGAAGATGCAGAAGCAGACACCCCTGATAAAACCATCAGATCTCATGAGACTTATTCACTAACATGAGAACAGTATGGGGGAAACTGCCTCTATGGTTCAAATTATCTCCCAGTGGGTCCCTCCCACAACACGTGGGAATTATGGGAGTACAGTCCAATATGAGATTTGGGTGGTGACAGAGAACCAAACCATACCAGAGAGTTTGATTAACTATTTTTTTTTTTTTCTTGAGACGGAGTCTTGCTCTGTTGCCCAGGCTGGAGTGCCGTGGCACAATCTTGGCTCACTGCAAGCTCCGTCTCCCGGGTTCATGCCATTCTCCTGCCTCAGCCTCCTGAGTGGCTGGGACTACAGGCGCCCGCCACCACACCTGGCTAATTTTTTTTTTTTTTTGTATTTTTAGTAGAGACGGGGTTTCACCGTGTTAGCCAGGATGGTCTTGATCTCCTGACCTCGTGATCCACCCCCCCTCAGCCTCCCAAAGTGCTGGGATTACAGGCTTAAGCCACTGCGCCCG
Source organism: Homo sapiens (assembly GCF_000001405.40). Classification (NCBI taxonomy): domain Eukaryota; kingdom Metazoa; phylum Chordata; class Mammalia; order Primates; family Hominidae; genus Homo; species Homo sapiens. The sequence continues at coordinate 111,050,659 of NC_000004.12, read as the reverse complement.
GCCGAGAGTTTGATTATTAATGTCTTGAGGTAGTCTTTCTTGGGTTAAATCTACTTGGTGCTCTATAGCATTCTTGTACTTGAATATTGATATCTTTCTCTAGTTTTAGGAAGTTCTTTGTTATTATCCCTTTGAATAAACATTCTACCCTAACCTATCTCTCTACCTCCATCCTAATGCCAAAGGCTCTTAGATTTGCCCTTTTGGGGTTATTTTGAGATTTTGTAGGCATGCTCCATTCTTTTGTATGCTTTTTTCTTTTTTCTCGTCTCGTTCTATATTTTCAAGTAGCCTGGCTTCAAGCTCACCAATTTTTTCTTCTTCTTAATCAATTTTGCTATTAAAGACTCTGATGCATTCTTCAGAATGCCAATCACATTTTTCAGCTCCAGAATTTCTGCTTTATTCTTTTTAATTATTTCAATCTCTTTCAAAATTTATCTGATAGTATTCTGAATTCTTTTTCTGTGTTATCTTGGATTTCATTGAGTTTCCTCAAAATGGCTATTTTGACTTCTCTTTCTGAAAGGTCACATATCTCTGTCTCTCCTGGATTGGTCACTAGTGCCTTATTTAGTTTATTTGGTGAGGTCATGTTTTCCTAGATGGTCTTGATGCTTGTAGCTATTTGTTGGTGTCTGGGCATTGAAGAGTTAGGTATTTATTATAGTCCTCATAATCTGGGCTTATTTGTACACATCTTTCATGGGAAGGCTTTCCAGGTATTCAGAGAAACTTGGGTGTTGTGATCTAGATCTTTGGTCACCACAGCCATATCTACTTTAGGGGACATCCCAAGCTCAGCAATACTGTGGCTCTTGCAGACTAGTAGAAGTAACGCCTTGGTGGCCTTGGGTAAGATCCAGAATTCCCTGGATTACCAGGGAGATTCTCTTGTTCTCTTCCCTTAGTTCCTCTCAAACAGAGTCTCTGGCTTCTCTCTCTCTCTCTCTCTGTGTGTGTGTGTGTGTGTGTGTGTGTGTGTTGAATTTCCTGGAGATGGGAGACGGATGACACAAGTACCCCTGTGGTCATCACTACTGGGACTGTGCTGGGTCAGATGTAAAGCCAGCATAGCACTGGGTTTCACCCAAAGCCCTCAGTGACCACTGCCTGGCTACCACCTATGTTTACTTAAGGCCTTAGGCCTTTACAATCAACAGGTGGCAAATGCAGCCAGGCTTTTGTCCTTATTTTCTGGGTGGAGGGTTCCTCCTGGCCCCAGGTGGGTCCAAAGATGTTATCCATGAGCCAGGCCTTGGAGTCAAGAAGCTTAGGAATCTACCTGGTGCTCTATTCTACTTTGAGTGATCTGGCACCCAAGCCATGAATGAAACGAAGTCCTTCCCACTCTTTTCTCTCCTTTCCTCAAGCTGAGGAGTCTCTCCCCATGCCCACTACCACCTCAGGCTGGTGGCAAGTAGTAACCTGGTTACTGCTGATGATCACTCAAGACCTAAGGGCTCTTCAGTCAGCTTGTGGTGAATGCTGCCAGACCCGAGGTTCTCTCTTCAGAGAAGTGGGCTCCCCTCTGGCCCAGGGCAGGTCCAGAAATGCCATCCAGAAGCCAAGGCTTGGAATTAAGGATCCTAGGATCCCACCTGGTGCTCTACCCAACTGTGGCCAAGCTAGCACCCAAGCTGCAAGACAAAGTCCCCTTTACTCTTCCTTCTCCTTTCCTCAAGCAGATGGGGTCTCGCCCCATAGCCACCACAGCGGGGAATGTACTGGTTCACACCTGAAGCCAGCACAGCTCTGAGTCTCACCCAAGGCTTGTTACAAGTACTCTCTTGCTACTACTGCTGATTAGTCAGGGCCCCAGGGCTCTTTAGTAAAATGTGATGGATTCTGCCAAGACCGGGTCCTTTCCTTCAAGAGAGCAGTTTCCATTCTGGCCCAGGGTGAGTTTAGAAATGTTGTCCAGGAGCTAGGGCCTGAAATCAAGGCCTCAGCGCTCTGCCTCGTGCCCTATTCTACTGTTGCTACTCTGGTATACAAGTTGCAAGACAGAGTTCTCTTTACTCTTCCTTCTTCTCTCCTCAAGCAGAGTAAAGGAGTCTCTCCTGGAGCTGTGAGCTGCACTTCCCAGGGTTGGGAGATGAGTGATGCAAGCACTCCCTTGGCCACCCCAGTTAATGTCTCACTAGGTTGCATGCTCCCCAAGTCCACTGGCTCTGAGCCCAGCACAGGACAATAACTTGCCCCGGAACTGCAGCCGTTGTAGCCTAGACTGCCTTTCAAATTTACTTAGGACCCCAGAACACGTCAGCTTATGGTGGCAGGGCTTGCCAGAACTTAAGTTCTGACCACTGGGATGGATGTTTTGCCTCTGGCCAGGGATGGTCTAAATGCTCCCTTGGTGGGCAGAGTTCTGCCTTGTGTTGCTTTCTGCTGTGACAGGGCAGCACTGAGTTCCAGCACAAAGTCCCACAATCACTGTGCTCTCCCTCCGCTAAGCACACAGACTCTTTCTTCATGTCACTTGGAGGTTGGGGGGGAGGGGTAGGTAGCAGCAGCAATTCAAGGCTGTCTTTCCTACCTCCTCAGTGCCTCCTTCCTTAATAAGATCTTAAATCAGGTGCTATGATCATTTACTTGATTTTCGGTTCTTATGAATGTGCTTTTTTGTGTGGATAGTTATTCAATTTGGTGTTCCTGCAGGGGTCATGATCACTGGAGGCTGCTATTCAGCCATCTTGCTTTATCTCCTCCTCAAAATTAATTTTTTTATTTTTTATATGACATGTCATATGGTTTTACTATCTTCTATGGCAAAAATTATTTTGCAAATCTTTTAAAAAATTTCAAACATTTAAGTTTTTATCAATATTTACGTTTTGTTAAGTTCCATTTATTTGATTATAAAACAGAATTCTCTTGTCAATATATTGAAAAGGAGTAAGTGCCAGGTCATTAAATACACAAATCAACTGTGATATATGTATATTTCAGAAATCTGATTTCTGAAATCTGAAAGAAATCCTTAATAAATATTTATGGCTTTCCATGTGATTGGAGAGAATTCAGGTAGCACATTCATAATACCTTTCCTTATTTTCCAAGTATTTTTAAAATCAACATTTAGTTAAATTATTTATTCAACTATTTTAACTAAATACAAATTTTAATATAACACCAGGAAGTGAATTATATTTTTTACAATGTTAATCTATTCTTAAATACTACCTCATGTTTTTTGTTATATACCTAACTTTATTATGTACATATACATTTTTTACTTGATGTCCTATCAGAACTGTAAAACTCTTTTCAGTCATATTTTCTCCCAAATGATCAAATTACTTTACTTAGTTTCTAAAGGTCGTCCTACATAATTTGTTCTCCTGCTTTGGCCAAGACCCAAAGTATTCATTCTGGGACTTTCTTTCAATATTTTTCTACATGACTCTTCTACTTTTTACTTCCCAGGTCTTCCTCTTTCTTAGTTTACTGCCTTCTTGTTGAGCATGCTTCCATCAGAACATATTTCCCTAGAGGAGAGTGACTTTGTTAAATGGCTGTAGATCTCTGGTGAATAATCAAGGGAAGTACTACTATATACACTAGCTGTGTCATTGTAATGTCTTTCCCAAGGTGTCCTGGCCTCCCCTTCAATGGGCTCTGGGTCATAGATGACTTGCCTTGAGTTGATGGTTGACTAACCCCACCTCACAGTTTATGATTACCATTGCCACCATATCTCTCAAACACTACAGGTTATATATTAGCCAGTCTCTGTGTTTTCATTTCTCTTCTTTTTTTCCGCCTACTTTTTACTTTAAAATCCCTTCCTTCTCGTAATATATAATACATTTTCTTTGCTGTAATGATTTGAAAGTTAAAAGTTTATTTCACTAGTAGTCGGAATATATAATTCCACTACTATATATATTATATATAATATATAATAATTATATATTATACATCAATTACATATAGATAATTTTATATATATAAAATTGCTTTCAAAAGAACAAAAACATGATAAATAGATCACCAAACATAGATATAGATAGATCAATAGATAATTTTTTCTTTTGAAAAACATTTATTAATTTATAATCTTTTTAGGATTTCCTTATGTGAATTGTATTTTCTGAATCTGTTTTATGTCTCTCTTTTTCTCATTCATCAATTTTCTTCTGTTTCATGTCTCTCTTTTTCTCATTCATCAATTTTCTTCTCTTCTGAATATAAAAAAATCATTAGTTCACTTTCTATTTTGTTAATTCTAGTTTTGCAAGTATTTCATATCCTTTCTATAGCCTCCAGTATGGCTTTTAATTCCACAAATGTGTATTTTTATTACTGTACAGCCTTTACCAATCATATATTATGTTTTTATTGGAAACCAGATTTAGTTTCATAAACGTGATGTCCCCTTTGATACTTAGGTGTAATTGCTGACTCCTGTATATTTTGATAGGTCTAGTACTTTTCTCTATCATTGTAAAAATTTTCTGCTCATTTTATTCTAGCCCCCTGGAGGAGAAAACCATGTGATGCAGTTTCTCATTGTTTGTGGTACTGTTGGGAAGAAGCGTAACAGGTTTTTGCTAGGGCAGCAATCCACTCTGCAAGGTAGCCCAGGTGAAACTTTTCTATTCCTCTAGCTGTTCCTTCAAGTGGAAACCCCATTACTAGATTTTCAGCTACTGCAGGTGTCCACTCTATGTGGAATCTTCACCAACTTCATTCATATCTTCTACATCTGCTTTTTCTCTAATCTGCTCTTACCACTATGATTAGGTAAATTGACTTTTGCCATAATGTCCTTCATGAATGCCCATAAATGATGTTTTGCCAGAGTAAAGGGAATTTAGAAGATTCTCACTCCCCTTTTCAATTTCTATGCCTTTCATAGCTAACTGAAGTTTCTCCAAGTTTTGTCATGGAACTTATATTCATTTAACAATTATTTTTTGAGAGCTGAGGATACTATGATAGAAGCATATAAATCTTGAACCTCACGATTTATGTATCCTCTTATATACCTAATACGGAGAGGTCAGACTACAAACACATAAACATGTAAATGTATTTGATGGCAGACAGAAATGTTAGATAGAAAAACAAAGCAAGGTCAAGTACAAAGGAGGAATCAAGTGGAACACATTTTCTAGACTTTGTAATGATTTATATCCCCCATGAAAACACATTTTTGTCCATTTAATTTCTATTTTCTTTGGAATCTACGAACAGAAGAGAAGCATCAGGGTAGCAGGAAGAGTTGGATGCTTCTGCTATCCTCGCCAGCTTCACGTGGAAGTCTTCCTCTTCCTCCTCAGAGAACTCTCCTTAGAGTCCTAAGGACTTTCTAGTCTATAACTCTGCTTGTGATTTTCTATTTCATTTGAGTTTTTTATTTTATTTTATTTATTTATTTATTTATTTTAGACAGTTTCACCATTGTTGCCCAGGCTGGAGTGCAATGGCATGATCTCAGCTCACTGCAACCTCCGCCTCCTGGGTTCAAGTGATTCTCCTTCCTCAGCCTCCCGAATAGCTGGGATTACAGGCACGCATCACCATACCCGCCTAACTTTTTGTTATTTTTAGCAGAGATGGGGTTTCACCATGTTGGCCAGGCTGATCTTCAACTCCTGACCTCAAGTTGTCCACCTGCCTTGGCCTCCCAAAGTGCTGGGATTACAGGTGTGAGCCACAGAGCCAGGCCTTCATTTGATTTTTTAACGCATGTTCCTGTTCTACATTTCTAGCTGTCTACATGTGACTACAACAATATATTATATGGACCTGAGACTCATCATGTCCAGGGAGAATGCATCTTCCTTTCAAAACCTAATTCCCTTCTGCATTTCACAGGGGTGAATGACATTGCAATACCCAGAGTTTTTCAGATCTTAAATTAAACCCTGGGTCACCTTCAATTCCTCTTTCTTCTTTGCTTCCAAAATCAAATTTCTAATCTTTATCCATTTAAGATACAAGAAAAGTTTCAGCAATTCTTTTATTTCCTATCCCATAACTGCTGGTCAGTTTACCCCAACTATTCAACAACAGCTGATTAGATTTCCTGAGGACTCTTCTTTCTATGGAATCCATTCTTAGTAGTGTATATAGCATTATCAGCCTAAGACACATGTATATCATAACATCACTGTCTAGCTGCAATGGCCCCAAATAAATTATTTTTAAATCAGGAAGTGAGTTAGATATTTTTTCTGTATTTAAGGTACATTTCATTGGCCATGCCTTATTTCAGCCTCTTTATATCTTTGAAAACATGAAATGAAATGACTTATAAAGTCAATAAGATGGTTTAACAGAACTAAAAATATGCAACGACATAAAACTATAATTTTCAGCATTTAAAAAAATATTTAATTGTTATTCTTTAGACTTGGCTCTGTTCTCCTTCCTTCATGAGGACTATAATCATGCAAAAATTGAAGTTTATACCTTCTATTGGCTTTAAGTTAAAGGAATGACATATAGTTCAAAACCATTTTCTTAGGAGAAAAATGATTGCATTTATTTTATATTTGAATAATTTCAAATGGCTTATGTAATTCAACTCAACTATGTTGAAAGAGGGGCAAAGAAAGTACCTAGTATGAATTTTTGCCCAGAAAAAAAAGGTTTTGAGGAAATTATGACCAACTGAAATATGAAAGAGAGAGACTATAATCATCATGTCTTCTATTTATGGTATTACCTGTATAGCTATAAATACGAAGTCTATTCTAATCATTTTAACTACCATAGGAATGCAGATAGCTTTGCAGTGACAAGTGGTAACTCTTTAATAAAGTACAACATGCCTATACATCATTTGGACAGAAAGAAGAATAATCTTTAAACAGTGAAATTCCACAAGCAGATAAGTAGGTTAAATGATCATGATCAGAGAGATACACAGGTCAGGCAAAGTGCACCTGCACACTAAATTTACTTGTCTTTTAGAGACAATTTGCAAAGAGAGGACAATTGAACTACCAAGGTAATTACCCAGGATATTGCCTTCGCTCTGCATTTAAAAAGATCGCATAATATTTAAGGATGACTTATGATTAGAATCTTATTCACTTTAAAAATCACCATTTCAGCCTAAGGCAGAAAATAGGAAATGAAATTTAAAAATAAGGAATGGTGTACAGTCCCATACTGGGTAAATGTTTATCATCTGGACGGCTGTTAGTTTCTGAAAGTCACGTGACAAGTTTTGAAAAGTCTATATGTAGAGTGCTAGTATCACACATGTAAAACCCCCCCGAAGCACATTTTGCTCCTAACATTATACCTTATTCTGCCAGGATTCTCAAAGGAAATCTATATACTTTGTCTTCCCTGAGCCTATGTTGTAGAAATGGTGAAAGGAGAGCATAAAAAGGCAAGAGGTTACAGGAGAATGGCTTATCCCTCTAAAGATCTGGGGCAACTTGTCTGAAGTGTTTGTAAAGTACAACTCTGGGAAAGTCATCCTTCGGCTTCTTTATTTCTCTTCTCATCATCACACAATCTTCTAATAAGCCTCCTCAACCAAGCAGACCCGATAGGATGGGTAACCCAAAGTGGGTACACCTTGTGCCAGGTTCCATAAAACAGTGTAAATTTTAAGTTTTTATGGCAGTAACATCTTGTGACGTATGTTTTCAATACTCTGTCACTTAACAAGTGGCTTCATTTCTCTCACCCACACGAAAATGTAAACAAATATTATAGTTTTGGAGAAACTTCCCTGGCATTTCCTTTCTGCTCTTTCAACTGCAGTCCTGCCTCCATGTGCCAAAGGCAGACTGGTTTCAACAAAGCATCCTTGCAAATGCTCAGGCAAAACTATCAACAATGCTATTGTCTTCAGAAAATATGCAGAAAAAAGAGCTGACATTTGACATACAAGGTAAGCCCAACAAAGTATTCAGAAGATTATTCTTTCCTGCTATTATAATCCACTAACTTCTTGTTGTTAGTTCTTAATCCAGTATCATGTCTAGACTTTCTTCTATACCTCCAACAAAGCTTTGGGAAAAATGAAATTGTATCTTCACATGCTTCTACACCCTTCAGCTATTATTGCCGGCCAACATGTGGAAAGAGCACAT